>NC_000003.12:132493452-132644967 GCF_000001405.40 Homo sapiens
ACCTAGGTTTTAATCCAGCTCTACCACTAAACTGGGAAACATGCAGCTAGCTCTTAGAATCTCAGTGTTTTTATTTATTGATCAAATTTTAGACAAGAATTAAATTTGATAGTCTGTAAAGTACCTAGCTCCTTGGCACATAGGCAGGCAATAAATATTAGAGCTTTTTTTTTCCCATTTGCTAACCAGATTCCCTTGTGTTCTATCCGTTACATTTGTTTGAATGCTAGCATACCCATAATTATGTTAGATCACCTTGAGAAGCACACCACAATATACTGCTTGCTTTCTTACTACAGTGTATCATCTAATTTTGACGTTTTTCATGGTTTCTGGACACTTTAAAAATTAAAACTTTTAGGTTTTATCTTTCACCCGTAAAGATAACATGTAAAAAAAAATAAATCTTAATTCTTCCTGGGTTTAATTTGAAGCCTAATACATAACACAGATTGGCAGAGGATTTAAAAAATTTTTTAAATAGAGGAATATTGCCTTGTAACAAATACCTTGCTCTGCCCAACTATACAGCAGTGCTCAGGTGATTTTGGTTATTTGTATTTCAGAAAGCTGTTAATTGGACAGCTAAAAGTATCCATTTAAATAAATACAGCACAATAATTCTATAACTTAAAAATTATACTCTGAAATAGTTTTACTTTGATATAAATTTTAATCTTTTGTCTTTAAGGTTAAGCTTCTAAAAGATACCCTTGATGCCTGGAAGAAAGAAGTAGAAAAGAAGCCACCTATGATGTCAATAGATGATGCTTATGAAGTGCTTAATCTGCCTCAAGGACAGGGACCGTGAGTTGTTTTCAGTACAATAGCAAATGTCTGTCCCACCTTAAAGTACCAGTATCAAAGACTAAGTTATATTTAAATCAATCATTTTAAAATCTTTTGCCTATACTTTGATATATACACCTTGGGAATAACCATATGGAACTATATCTGTGTGACTTTCATTTATTGCAAACTTATTAGCCAAATTGTATCCTCCTCTTCTTGCTGGTACATTCATTTCTCTATTAATTGGAAAAATGTATGCAGAGTATCTGGCACCATATCTGACACATGGTAGCCATTCACATGTTCATTTTTCCTCTTCCTTTTGTAATTTGTATTATGCATGTGGAAGAGATTTGATAGCAATATGCCTAGGACACCAAATGACAGATTATGAAAGAATGCAGATTTATCTTGTTTATCAGTGAAGTTTTATAGTAGACTATGTTATGGAAAAATGGTTTGAAAACTTAAGTATAGACTAAAACTGTATATTTTGGCAAGACTGATATAATAACTTAGAATTATAGAATTTGAAATTGTCATTTTGGACATTTTGACAAGTTAGTGGATTTTTAAAAATATATTTTGTAGTTCTTCCAACTCAAATATAATTTTATAATTTGAAGTGAATGGGTAGGGAACTTTTAGGTTTTATCTTTCACCCATAAAAGTAACATGTTAAAAAAAAAAAATCTTAATTCTTTCTGGGTTTAATTTGAAGCCTAATATATAATCATATACAATTCTTGATATTAGATTCTTAAAATATCATTTTAGATGGTTTTGTAAATTATTTTTTCTTGTGCCTTACTATACTCATAAAACAATTTTCCTGTTTAACAGGCATGATGAGAGCAAGATTAGGAAAGCTTACTTCAGACTTGCACAAAAGTACCACCCTGATAAGAATCCAGAAGGGAGGGTATGTACTGCTGTTGGAATTCAGGCATTGGGCTTCCTCTTGCTCTATTATTATGTAGTTGGAGAAAAGTATATTACCTTCTGTGCCAGTATCTGCCTCATAATATATACTCAGTGTATGTTTAATAAACTTCTGGCCACATGCCCATAGTTTCTGCATGGATGATGCTCCCTCAGTTTACCAGACGAGTGGCCTTTATGACTAGCAACTTACAGGTTTTATTGTGTCTCCTTATCCATGTCTGTTTGAGAATTAACTCTAATGGGCAATCATAAGAATAATTGAAAATAAGGAATTCAGGGGAGCTTAATTCATTTGTAGGTTTTAGGTGATACCATTGCTATTCAGATTGCTTTGGGCAATTTATGTAATTTTTTCCAATGACATCCAATTTCATATCACTGTAACTGAAGAAACAGAAAATTTAGTTCAGATTTTAAATCATCATTCCCTGATGCCACCTCATCCAATGATGTTTCATAAACGATGAAATCACGTAAGAACCACCTAAACCAGGACTGATAGTCTATTGCTAGAAACTTGGAATAATTTCCACTGATTTCTGTTTTCACTGGAAACAGAACAGAGACAGTATTCCTGAATGAGAAGACATGACATTGAAAAGATCTGACTTTCATATGTTTAAGGTATTTTTAATAAAAACCCTAGGGGTTTTTTTGAGAACCTGATACTAATTCAAATTCATCTAGGAGAAAAAATAAGAATGGAAGAAATTTTGAAATCTTTTAAATTGCTAGACTTATCAGATATTAAAACACTTCATAAAGCTACAATAGTAAAACAATATGATACTGACACAAGAATCTACATATAGATAACTGAACATACAGTGTAACAGTTTAAGAGCATGGAGTTAGGAGTACCTCTTAGCTCTGCCACCAGTTGATTTTGTGTCCTTAACCAGGTTACTATCTCTAAGTTGCAGCATCCTCATGTAAAAAATGAGGATGATAATGGTACACACTTTACATGGCTGTTTGAGGATTAAGTGAGATTATGGCATTTAGCACAGTGCTTAATAAACAGTAGCTCATAATTTTTGTTATATAGACGCAAACTCTCTCTAGTATGTATGAGTTTAACATGATGTATTTAAGGATACATTTAATATTCTTATTTGAAGAATTTTCAGTAAATGGTATTGAGATCATTAGACAACTATTTGAAAAAAAAATTTCACCTTAACAGTATACCAGCTAGATTACAGTTGGAATGAATACCTTAATATAAACAATAAAATAATAGCTAAAGTTACTGATAAAATGCAAACCATATGTCTTGTTTAAGTTGAATTTTGCGACATTCCAAATTAACGTTAAATTATCTTCTGTTACATACAGGACATGTTTGAAAAAGTAAATAAAGCATATGAATTTTTATGTACCAAATCAGCAAAAATAGTGGATGGGCCAGATCCAGAGAATATAATTTTAATTCTAAAAACACAGAGCATCCTCTTCAACCGTCATAAAGAAGGTAAGATGTCTGTTCTCAGATTTTAATTTATCCTCCAGCTAACCTTATCACAGCTAACCCTATACCATATTACCTGTTTCTACAGCATATTTAATAGATTTAGAATTATTGTTTAAAAGATTCTTGGAATTATGTTTTAAATAAAGGAAAATGTAGTTTTCTAAAGAAGGGCCCAAATATTTGTTTTATATCTTTCCCTTCATAACTATGTTTTTCAGTATTTTGCATTTCTGACATCTTCGCTCTGTGGAGTTACTTGGTTAGTTTTTGTGTTTAGCCATTTAGTAGCAACGTGTTAAATGAGACAGAATGGAATCTGGAATTTAAAGATCATTTCATGTTTTCTTAAATGGCATATGAAAGCCTATCATAACTTTAAAAGCCTCTGAAGGTTAAAAACACCAAGAGCATTCAGATTTTTTAAAAGCAGTAGAAACTTTTCAAATGATGATATACTTCTCATACGTTCTATTTCCTATTGTAGCTCTCAGGACCCTCTAGTCCTGTGGGACAGTTTGAAGAACACTGGTATAGATGAAATAGGTGTAATTTCAGATTACAGGATTATCCAGTGTTTGTGGGGCCATTTGCAGTAGCCCTAACAGTAGCAGTCAGAAAGCCAGGAGTATGTTCAAAACATCCCCCTTTGTTGGGGATGAGGGGTTAGGTTCAATATGGCAGATGCCCAATGGCTTGGGAACTGAACTTGACTTACAGCACAAAGTGGGAGAGCCATTTGCTATGGTATGTTGGGAGAGAAGGAAGAGGACTTTCAGGATTTGAGATAAGCATGGAGAGTGTTGGGTAACTAAAGACAAGAGATGGTGTTGCAGTTTAAGTATTGGAGGGGACAACCTGAGGATCTAGCAGTTGGATTATTAAAGAGAGCAGTGATTAGTTGATTTACTTTTACATGAGTTTAACAGAATACGTTTATAATACATTTTAGATATATGGCTTTTACTAATCAGAATGAGTTTGGAAACCTTTTTCAAAACCCTTGGTTGTCTTTTAATGCTGATAACTAAATTATTAGCCACAAGATACAGTTATGGCCCATCCTGGTTTCTCTGTTATCAAGGTCATCTTTAACTTTTCCCAAGAGGGGTTTATACCCAAGAAGCTCTGAGGTGGAGGTCCTGATCTGACAGGACTTAGTTATTCACTGTTCTTTCTTATTACGTATGTGTCACTTTTTTTTTTTTTAAAGGAAAATTAGGACCTGTTCCAGGGGGCCTTTTTTTTAAAAGCCAGTTTAGAAATGAGTTTTAAGGCAGATTATTGGTCAGCCTCAAAAGTCAAAAAGATTTATGCTGATTTCAATTGGAATTATAGAGATACTTTTAAAGTCACAGCCAATTAATTTGCATCTCTTTGCCTAATAGGTTAGATTGAAAAAAGAAGATGGAAAGAACAGAGTAATTAGGCATGTAGGTTTACTAGCTTTCACTTTTAAATTTGGTTATTAAAACATGGAATTAACTAAATGTAGTTTAAAAGTTAACTTTCTGTTTTGTACTTCTAGTAAGAAATTGTATTATTTTCAAATTTAAGAAAATACTGGTAAAACTTTAAGATAACTGGTAAAATAGATACCAGTTATCTTTAAGATAACTGGTAAAATAGATACTGGTAAAATAGATAAACAAGGGCACTTGTTATCCAGAAAACTTAATATAAAATATTCAGTGTCATGTAAATGTCTTCTCAGTCTTTTTTCTTTATAAAGATGTGCATATAATTGATATTAATAGAATTTCTGGTGCATTTGCTGTACCTTGCGTTCTGTGATGAGGTGAAAAGTTACAAAGATCAGCATAGAAAGTAGGTATTCTGCAAAGGATCAAAACTATACACCAAGTGCAGTTAATTTACCAGAAAATGTTATTTTTCTAGTGGAAACATTTTAGAAAAATCAACCAAGTTTACTAGAAAGGAAGGATCCAAGGGATTTTATAGTAGGTTTAATTTCTTTTTTTATCAACTGGCATTAGGAGGCATTTAAGATGTTAAGATAAAATATTTTATCTTTTTTTTTACGTTTTATTTTATTTTATTTTTATTTTTTTTGAGACGGAGGCTTGCCCTGTCGCCCAGGCTGGAGTGCAGTGGTGCCATCTCCACTCACTGCAAGCTCCACCTCCCGGGTTCACACCTTTCTCCTGCCTCAGCCTCCCGAGTAGCTGGGACTACAGGTGCCTGCCACCACACCCGGCTAACTTTTTTGTGTTTTTAGTAGAGAAAGGGTTTCACTGTGTTAGCCAGGATGGTCTCAATCTCCTGACCTCGTGATCCACCCACCTTGGCCTCCCAAAGTGCTGGGATTACAGGCATGAGCCACCATGCCTGGCCCCATTTTTATTTTTTTAAGGCAACATATTCTTGAACATGGTATCAAAATTGAAACCACAACATAATCAATTTTGTTTTGTTTTTCTAACACTAACCATTGGTTATTTCAGATTTACAGCCTTATAAATATGCAGGATACCCCATGCTTATTCGGACTATAACAATGGAAACTTCAGATGACCTCCTTTTCTCAAAAGAATCACCATTGTTGCCTGCGGCTACAGAGCTAGCTTTCCATACTGTCAACTGTTCAGCCCTCAATGCTGAAGAGCTCAGAAGAGAGAATGGACTAGAGGTAATACGGAGTGACCTTTGTGCTTTTTAAGCCAGTTTACACACATTATATGACTCTTGGCAGTGAAGAATTCAGCAAGTACAAATGCAGATTCTTTAATTTATTTCAGCAGATAACACAATATTTTCCATATTCTTATACCAAATTAAAGGTAGAAATGGAGCTTTATTTCACAATGTGAGTTGGAAAGTATTGGGTTCAAAACCGATAATGGTAATATTGTTTACAAAGTAGCTTATTAGAAATGCTTAAAAGGAAACTTTTAGGAGTCCTTTGTTTACTATTTATTAACAAATGTTGATCAAACATTTATGTATCAAATATTTAACATTAAAGGGTTATTTATATTTTATTACTGCTAGAAAAGGCCTTTCAGACTTGAAGTCAAAATGGAGAGTTAATAGCTGACTTCTTCCTCTGCAGGTGTTACAAGAGGCATTTAGTCGCTGTGTGGCTGTCTTGACTCGTGCTAGTAAACCAAGTGACATGTCAGTACAGGTGAGGCTAAAACCTGTGGTTCCAAGAAAATTGCACTAGTTCAATGGTTCAGACTTTAACATATCTGAGAATCAACTGGAGGGCTCATTAAACTGTAGGTTGCTGAGCTCCACCCCACCCCAAGTTTCTGATTCAGTGAGTCTGGGGTGGTGGCCTGAGAGTATGTTTTTATAACAAGTTTCCAAGTGTCATTGATGCTGCTGGTCTGTGTATCACACTGTAAGAAACTGTACTAAAGCACTTGTGATCTGTTGGCTTACGTTTTCTTTCTTAGAGAATAGTTTATTGAACCCATATGTTTCCATTACCCAGCTTAATGCCATTCTTGTTTCACATATCTTCCATCCCTCACTCTCCTATCTCTAGTATTTTAATTGGCTTAACATTTAAGGTTGTAAGATAGGAAATTCATCAGGAGTTCATTAAGAGCTTTGTAGAGCGTGTCTTTCTATTTGACCTTTTGCTTATGCCAGCAAAATTCAGAATATAAAACGAGTACTGGCTGTTGAGTTCCATCCTCTATTTTGAAGTCCGTTGTGTAAACAGAATTGTGATATTCTGCTATGTTAATAAACTATACAAAATTACCTTAATCCAGAGGCCAGCAAACTTCTAAAATAAAGGTCCAGGGAGTAAATATATGAGTCTTTCAGGCTTCATACAGTCTCTGTTACATTTTCTTTTGTGACTTTTTTACAGCCCTTTAAAAATCTAAAAACCATTCTTAGCTCTTTGGCAGTACAAAGACCATGGTCAGTTTGGCCCATGGGTTGTAGTAGCTGTGGTTTGCCAACTACCCCAGCATTTATAGGAAATCTTAATGAGAAAGACTAGTGATCTAGTAAAGACATTCTGTTTAATTTTGGAACATTGTATATACCATTAAGCATTATTCACAAATTTCTGCTGGTTTGATTTCTATGTGTTAAATAAGGAATGCCTATGTGACTCTACTGGTTTTTTTGCTCTGTTGTGTTGTCTGCAGGTGTGTGGATACATAAGTAAATGCTACAGTGTGGCTGCTCAGTTTGAGGAATGCCGAGAGAAGATCACGGAAATGCCTAGCATCATCAAGGATCTCTGTCGGGTACTATATTTTGGCAAGGTAGGGTTAATCTTTAATGCTTTCTAGATACAGACAGCAAAGTGTCTTTTTGTCAACTAGCCAGTTCCTAATGTATAAGCACATTGTTTTCCCAAAGTTATTTGTAAGTAAAATTATTTGGATTTCTAAAAGCATTTTTCACAGAAGCCTTGCTGTAAATGGAGGCTTTGCTTCTAGGCTGGCCTACAAAGAAAAAGACTAAAGTGATACATCTAAAGGGAAGTGGGTTCCATCTGAACATTAGAATGAGTGGCAGGGAGAAAAGAGAAGCCTGTAATAAATAAGTCTTTTAAAAGCAAAAGGCCAGCCCGGTGTGGTGGCTCACGTCTGTAATCCTAGCACTTTGGCAAGCCGAGGTTGGCAGATCACTTGAGGTCAGGAGTTCAAGACCAGCCTGGCCAACACTGCAGAACCCTGTCTACAAAAAAATACAAAAATTAGCTGGGTATGATGGCATGCGCCTGTAATCCTAGGTATTCGGGAGGCTGAGTATTTGGCTGAAGAACAAGCAACTCCAGAAAATTCAACCATAAGGAAAAGTTTAGCTGGCATGCTGACACCCTATGTTTCTGTGGCTAGTGTGACTGAGATATATGCTTCAGAGGTAGCCTGTGCCACTACACTCCAGACTGGGCAAGAGAGTGAGACTCTGTCTCAAAAAAAAAAAAGAAAAAAAAACAGGGCCATGTAAAACCTGAAAACTAGAGAGTTCGGCACTGCTTGGTGGGAAAGGCTTTAGAGATCTGAGAACTTACTATTTCCTCCCAATCCAGACCTGCTGAGGAAGGTTGACTGTGGGTAGATGAGATAGATGACTGGGAGGGAGAGAGAAATGTCTTAAATAACTGGGCAGAGTGAGAATTGTCTTGAATAAAACAGGATCGAGATGCTGATCTAGTACTAAAGTATCAAGAAGTGAGGGAATTGATGAAAATATCTCCTCTACTATATCTACTTAATGTCCTTAGAAGTATTTGATTACAGAATAAAAAACTGACATAAATAAATCTTTTAACAACTGCACAAAATATGTCGTTACATTTAAGATCACTAGCGTGTAAGTTGCTATTGATGCCATGTCACTATTTTTAAAAATTAAAAATACAAGAAGTGAAACAGGAAACTATTCCCAAGTCTTCTGACATTAGCCTTAAAGGTAGTAATTCTGGTATCTCGTCATGAGGTCACTTTTAATTTTAGGCTTTAAAGGATGTAGGATTCAGATTTAAATTGGAATTGAAAATGTAAGAAGAGGTAAACATTTTACAAAATAACGTGGTTGGCTTGACATACATGCACAACCAGTTCCTCTTGGGAGCTTTTTTTTTTTTTTTTAACTCTGTAACAACTAATGCTCTCATTTTTATTCTCTCAGAGTATTCCCCGCGTAGCTGCTCTTGGGGTAGAATGTGTCAGTTCTTTTGCTGTGGATTTCTGGCTACAGACACACCTATTTCAGGCTGGAATTTTGTGGTATCTCCTTGGTTTTCTGTTTAATTATGACTACACACTAGAAGAGAGTGGCATTCAGAAAAGTGAAGAAACAAACCAGCAGGTAACTTTAACATTGCTTTAATATTGAATTTGAACCCAAACCTTAGGTTGGTGTTAAACTAATCCAAACCAAAGCTGCTATCCAGAGTCCCCAGAGATAAATTGTTTTTCAGGAAAATTAGGTTTTTTGCTTTTTAAACCTAATCACTTACTTACAAAACTTTTAGTTGTAATTGCTTATGCTTAAAGGATTCCAGGCAAGGGAATTTGCAATAGCATATACTGGACATAATTTAATAATTTCTTAATTACTCAGAGTCAACTTTATGATGGCAAAATTATGGTTGTGTAACACAGGACAATATAATGTTACCATCAGGCAGTTGAGGCTAGCTCCCCTAAACACTTGAGTACTTGTCTGATTTTTATAGATATTTTTCTGTCTCTTCTATGTGCTCTCATTTATTGCTCATATTGTAAATGTGTGCTTCTAGCAGGCAGGGCTGCCTACCTATCCCCTACTCCCCACATTACCACCAAATGTGCTTCTTCCAGTTGTCTGTGAGATATACTGCATTGGGTATAAGTTAGTACATAGATTCTCCTGGTCCTTCTTATAAATAAAAAACAAGCCCCAACACATAAACTTTCTGATGTTTACCTCAGTGGTAGGTACTCTTGTACCCTTTTGTTGGTTGACTTTTTACTCCTTAAATATGTTCCATATAGTGTGATTCTGTAAAATTATAGTATTACCTATGTAAGATAACAGATCTACTTTAACAACTTAATTTTTTTTATAACAGGAGGTAGCAAACAGCCTTGCCAAACTGAGTGTCCATGCTCTGAGTCGCCTTGGAGGGTATTTGGCTGAAGAACAAGCAACTCCAGAAAATCCAACCATAAGGAAAAGCTTAGCTGGCATGCTGACACCCTATGTTGCTAGAAAACTTGCTGTGGCTAGTGTGACTGAGGTATGTGCTTCACAGGTAGCCTGGGTTTTAATCAATAGTGCAAGATCCTTTAAGCAGTAAAGTAGTACAATAATATTGATCTAGGGAACCTAAAAATTAAGAACGTTCACATGTTTGTTCTCTCAAGCAAGAAATTCACTTTATAATGGATTGATGCTAATGATGTCAGTTCTACAAGTCCAGTTTTTGCAAGGGCAAATTAACTTTGTTTCTCAGCTGTGGAGCCTATCATAATTCTTACCAACCTTGAGTCACAAAGGGACAGGACGAGAGAGTGAAGTTGGAATGGTGTTTCACAATGGCAGACTACTGGGAGACAGGAGACCCAGAGTCTATTTCAAGCTATTTATTGTAAGCCATAGCTTATTCAGACACAGGGTTAAAATCCTGAAAGTAAATACATACATGCACATATACATGTATATGTATCTATGTACATACATAGATGCATTACAAAAATCAGTATGACATGATAGATCTCCCAACCTCTTTAACTTCTTTTGCAAGGATTATTGAGAAATAATCTGAGAATGTAGCACTAAAGAATTTGATAAACTATAGAAATCAGTTAAACAGGTTACTATTATCCTTTAATTATAAAAAAAAAAAGAGTACTAAAAGACATTAAAATAAATGAAGACACTAGATCCTATTTTTGGTATAACAAAATAAATGGATTGATAGATTTGTACCCATATGTTAACTGTAATTATTCCTGAATGGCATAATTATAGGCAGTTTTTCTTTTGTTTTCGCTAAGGATGAACTGTGACTTTTGTAAGTGAAAAAATCCTCAGGTTTCCAAAGTATTTTTACAACTTTTAAACAGGTTATTTGTTTTTAATCCAATGTGATTGAGTCCAATTTTCAGTGCTTGCCATGCTTTTCAGTTCCCATGTGTGAAAGGCAGGAGCTCTAGATGCTACTGGTTTTTTTTTTTTTTTTTAATTTTGTTTTTGTTTTTACTATTTTTCCTAAAACACTAGACGACCAGGGACCACTCCTGATGTTAGTTATTTTCCTGGACTTTTTGCTCACCAATGTGATACATTTTGCTGACTGAAAGCATTCTCTTCAGAAATGCCAACAAGTTTGGGATTAACCTTTATAGCCACCCCCACTAAAAATTTTTTATAGCATTTCAAAATTAAATGTTGGCATGAGCTCCAACTGGATTCAATAAAATGCTTAACTAGAAGTTAGCCTTTTGAAAACAAGGCTTGCATGTCTTTGTATAAGATGGAGGTCATAGTCCTCTGTTTTCCTATTAGCAGTAGACCTCTGTAAAAATAAAAGATTTTTATTCAGACATTTAAGGAATTGTGAAATATCTGTGTTTACATTTAAAATTGAGGAGAGCTCAACAATAGGAAAGCACACCAGATGCCTAAGCAGTCATAATCTATGCCTGCAGAAGGACTACACAGCCTTCAATATCAGGGTGTGGTCAGGAAAATCTGACTTTCTCCCCATAAATTTTATTTTCCTTCATACAGGTATGCTTCTTAAAGACTTAGGTTTTGTTTTCAAATACATGTACATAAAGGTATTATGTTGTGATTCTTTTCAAGCTTATAGTCACAGTGTGTTTATTAAGTACTTTCAAAATATTGAATTTCACCATGGCACAGCAGATTTTGAGAATGTTGAAGTCAGACTCAATTTCAAATCCTAGTTTCACCAGTTACCAGTTGTAAGATCTGGGACAAATAATTTAATGATTTGCAGTCTTAGTTTTTCTCAGCTGTAAAATGGATTATATCAATAAACTTGTTAGAATTATTGAGATACTTATTATTGAGGTCCATTATACTATAGGCAACTATTATAGTGTTTGGCCTATAATAGACATTTTTAATAAGTGATAATGTCAATAAGTTTTTTCACTAAATGTTATAAAACGGTAATATTGTCTCCTAGATTTTGAAGATGCTTAACAGCAACACAGAAAGTCCATATTTGATATGGAACAATTCTACAAGAGCAGAATTACTTGAATTTCTTGAATCCCAACAAGAAAACATGATTAAAAAAGTATGTTATTGTTTTATAAATTTCTTGGGTAATTTATTCTGATGGAATCTCTGGAAGTACAGCAGTATTGATTAGAACAGAAATCCACTACTTCTCACTTTAGTGTCAGTCAGTATGGCTTTCTGCCACCTAATATTTGGCCCATTTAAGAAGAGCATTGTGTTGTATGTAGTAATACATTAGGAATTTTTATTGTTGTTACCACTTATATACAGCTGTCTTCTATTTTAACCAGTTTTTGAACCCAGAAACCTTATTTTAGTTGTTCACTTCAGCCTCTTTTCGCTAGTAAGTGAAAGGTGCTTTCCAGTATCAAGACTGAACATTTTTTCTACCCTGCCACCTTTTAGTGGAGAAGCTATTACTGAGCCGTGAAAAAAAAACAAAAGGCAGTAGGATGGGCAATAAGGAGAAGACCTGGATAATCCATACACTAGATGGTTGAGTCTTGATGATTTTGAAGATAATTATGTGTGTGGCTTTGGAAATTAGAGTAACTATTACTGTAACATCTCAGTTATTTAGCGTTTTTGAGCTCATTCCATGTTAGTCATCTAGAACTCTTTATAGATAAAATTTTTGAGAATTGCAGAGCTAGGGAGAACGGGTCTTACATGTCTGTACATTATCTTTTTTTTTTTTTTTTTTTTTTTGAGATGGAATTTTGCTCTTGTTGGCTCAGGCTGGAGTGCAATGGCATGATCTCGGCTCGTCGCAACCTCCACCTCCTGGGTTCAAGTGATTCTCCTGCCTCAGCTTCTCGAGTAGCTGGGATTACAGGCATGCACCACCATGCCTGGCTAATTTTGTATTTTTAGTAGAGATGGGGTTTCTCCATGTTGGTCAGGCTGGTCTCGAACTCCTGACCTCAGGTGATCCGCCCGCCTCAGCCTCCCACAGTTCTGGGATTACAGGCCTGAGTCACCGCGCCCGGCCTTCTGTACATTATCTTTTACCAGAATAGACATAATAACATCTCTTTGTTTAGCATTTTATAATTTATTCTATACTTTTACATGTTATTTTAGTCCAATCTAAATTCGTTTTGGTTTCAGTCTTAATCTTCATGGGACTGTTTTTCTCCCATTCCTCCTCTATTTTTTAGCACTTTTGTTCAGTGTATTACTTTTTTTTTTTTTTTTTTTTTTTTTTTTTGAGATTGAGTCTCACTCTGTTGCCAGGCTGGAATGCAGTGGCATGATCTCGGCCCACTGCAGCCTCTGCCTCCCAGGTTCAAGTGATTCTCCTGCCTCAGCCTCCCAAGTAGCTGGGACTACAGGCATGTATCACCACGCCCAGCCACTTTTTGTATTTTTAGTAGAAACAGGGTTTCACCATGTTGGCCAAGATGGTCTCGATCTCTTGACCTCATGATCCACCCGCCTCGGCCTCCCTAAGTGCTGGGATTACAGGCATGAGCCACCGTGCCCGGCCTAGTGTATTACTTTTTAAAACCCAGTCCAAATATGCTCATTTCTCAGCTCTGTCATCCTACGTCTTACTAGGTCTGATGTCTGCTGAGTTGATTGAGAAGAATAAAGCGTCATACTTGCTTTATAAACTCTGGCTCTAAGACCTTTGTTAGCTGACCTCTGATCCTTTGAAATTTTAAAATGAGTTAATAATAGTAATATTTGGGATAAAAAATTATAATGTAATTGTATGCCTATTCCAAAGTCTTTTTAAGTGCTGTGACATGTATCACACCACATTTTTTCTCTAGAATATGCATAGATCTCTCAAGTTATTTATCTGTTAAGTTATTAAACTGAACATGGATAGATTTACATCTAACAGTCTATTTTTTCATCTTTTAAAAAGGGTGATTGTGACAAAACTTATGGATCAGAATTTGTCTACAGTGATCATGCCAAAGAACTTATTGTAGGGGAGATTTTTGTTAGGGTGTATAATGAAGTTCCTACTTTCCAACTGGAGGTAAGCTCTCTGCTTTTAATTTTACCTGATACCTTTGATCATTTGTTACTGAAAGTTACTAGTTTATTCACACTTTATAGAGGCACACTTCATTTTATTGCACTTTCTTTACTGTGCTGCTTTTTTTTTTTTAACAAATCAAAGGTTTTTGGCAACCCTGTGCCAAGCAAGCCTATTGGCACCATTTTTCCAATAGCATGTGTTCACTTCATGTCTCTGTGTCACATTTTGGTAATTCTCTCAATATTTCACACTTTTTCATTATCACATTATGGTGATCTGTGATCAGTGATGTTGCTCTTGCTAATTGTTTACATAAGATCGTGAAGTTCATCAATAGTGAACTTCATCAATAAATGTATGTGTTCTGATTGTTCCACCAACCAGTCATTCCTTGGTCTCCCTCTCCTCTGGCCTCCCTATTCCCTGAGTCAACAATATTGGAATTAGGCCAGTTAATAACCCTGCAACGGCCTCTAGGTGTTCAAGCGAAAGGAAGAGTCACAGGTCTCTCACTTTAAATTAAAAGCTAGAAATGATTAACCTTGATGAGGAAGGCTTGTCAGAAGGTTAAATAGGCCGAAAGCTATGCCTCTTGTGCCACACAGCCAAGTTGTGAGTGCAAAGGAAAAGTTCTTGAAGGAAATTAAAAGTGCTCCTCCAATGAATACATGAATGACAAGAAATTGAAACAGCCTTATTGCTGATATATGGAAAGTTTTAATGATTTGGATAGAAGATCAGACCAGCCACAACATTCCCATAAGACAAAGGCTAATTGAGAGCAAGGCTGTAACTCTCTTCAATTCTGTGAAGGCTGAGATAGAGGGTAAGGAAGCTGCAGAAGAAAAGTTTGAAGCTAGGGGGGATTGGCTCATGAGGTTTAAGGAAAAAAACTGTCTCCATAACCTAAAAGTGCAAGGTGAAGCAGCAAGTGCTGATGGAGAAGCTGCAGCAAATTACCCAGAAACTTAGCTAAGATAATTGAAGGTCACTACACTAAACAAGTTTCTAATGCCTTCTATTGGGAGAGCTTGCCATCTAGGATTTAGCTAGAGAGGAGCAATGTCTGGCTTCAAAGCTTCGAAGGACAAGTTGACTGTCTTGGTAGAGGCTTATGCAGCTGCTGACTTTTAAGTTGAAGCCAGTGCTCATTTACCCTTCTGAAAATCCTAGGAACTTTGAGAATGATAAATCTGTTCTCACTTATAGGTAGAGGCTAAACAGTGGGTACTTATGGACATAAAAGTGGCTATAATAGACACTGGAGACTACTAGAGGGAAGACGGGGGTGGTCAAGGTTGAAAAACTATTGGGTACTGTACTCAGTACCTGGGTGACAGTCATACCCCAAACTTCAGTATTCCAGGTAACAAGCCTGTACATGTACCCCCGAATCTAAAACAAAAGTTGAAATTATTTTTAAAAAATTATGCTAAATCTGCCTGTGCTCTATAAATGGAAGAACAAAGCCTATATGACAACACGTCTGTTTATGGCATGTTTTACCAAATATTTTAAGCCCACTGTGGAGACCTACTGCTCAGGAAAAAAAGAGCTTTCAAAATACTACTGCTCGTTGGCAATGCACCTGGTCACCCAAGAGCTCCGATGGAGATGTACAAGGAGATTAATGTTTTCATGCCTGCTAATACAGCATCCATTTTGCAGCCCATGGATCAAGGAGTAATTTCAACTTTTACATCTTGTTATTTAAAACATACATTTCAAACAGCTGTAGCTGCCATAGATAGTGATTCCTCTAATGGATGTGGGCAAAGCAAATTGAAAACCTTCTGGAAAGGATTCACCTTTCTAGATGCGTAAGAGCATTTGTGATTCATGGGAGGAGGTAAAAATATCAGTATTAACAGGAGCTTGGAAGAAATTGTTTCCAGCTCTCATGGATGACTTTGAGAAGTTCAAGATTCCAGTGGAGGAAGTCACTGCAGATGAGCTGGAACTAGCAAGAGAGCTAGAATTAGAAGTAGATCCTGAATATGTGACTCAATTGCTGCAATCTCATTATAAAACTTGAAGAGAAAAAGGGGTTGCTTCTTGTGGATAAGCAAAGAAAGTGGTTCTTGAGATGAAATCTTGTGAAGATGCTGTGAACATTGTTAAAATGACAAAAGATTTAGTATATTACATAAACTGAGTTGATAAAGCAGCAGCAGGGTTTGGGAAGATTGACTTCAATTTTGAAAGAAATTCTCCTGTGGATAAAATGTTGTCAAACAGATCACATGCTACAAAGAAATCTTTCATGAAAGGAAGAGTCAGCTGATAGAGCAGACTTCTTTGTTTTACTTTGGGAAGCCACCCCAACCTTCAGCAACCACCACCCTGATTAGTCAGCAGCTGTCAACATCAAGGTGACATTCCCACCAGCAAAAAGATTGACTTGCTGAAGGCTCAGATGATTGTTAGCATTTTTCAGTTAAGGTATGCACGTAGTTTTTTTTAGACATGATACTATTGTACACTTAATAGACCACAGTATAATGTAAAAATAACTTTTATATGCACTGGGAAACCAAAAAATTAGCTTTATTTTGGTGATCCAGAACTGAACCCACACTATCTCTGAGGTGTGCCTTTACACCGAAATAATACCAAATGCTTGTGATGGGGTGACCACTGACAGCTTGTGAGCCTCTTTATCTTGATTGTTGAAGAATTGAATTTTGTGAAGTTTATTCATAAGAAGTTGTTCCTTGCCCAGCTTTTTCTTATATTTTGTGCCTACTGCTATCCCACTGGGCCATGTTTATATGCCTTTAACTCACTAGTCCTTCATGGACGTACAAGGCCAGTTACATGCTCATTTCATCACAAGGGATATCAGACCACCAGACACAAGGCTTCCTCTGGCCAATATTAGGAGAAAATATAGGTTGAAAATAAAGATTTTTTTAGAAGATGACTGGAGTCACATCAGATCATCTTTTGTGATGATTCCTCATCACTTCCAGAAGCAGCTGAGGAGCTTCTTCTGAGTGCTTGGGGATCATATAGGGAGTTTTTGCTTTCATTTTTTGTTTTTTCTATTTAAAGACGGGTCTCACTGTCTTGCCCAGGCTGGTCTCAAACTCCTGGCCTCAAGCAGTCCTCCTGTCTCAGCCTCCCAAGTAACTGGGATTACAGGTTCAAGCCACTGCCCCTGGCTTGTAGGAGGTGGCAAAGAGGATTTGGTGGTTGATTTGTTTGTAAAAAGGAAAGAAGTGAGGCTTTGTTTTAGAGTTTACTCTTAGAGGAAAAATGTACTATGCCATAATGTATATCACGTATCACAGAGTAATATATATGTAAATAGCTATTAAGCAGAATGAGTTAAGTGACTTGTGACGTCCCTTTGAAAATTGTCCTTTGAATTTCTAAATTTTATATAACTTAATTATAAAAATATAACCAAATTTTAGAAGTTCTGTATCATACTATCTGTTACTTCGATTGATAAAGGGAGGAGGTATTCTAATCTCAGAATTGTTACACTAAGATACTAATGGGAGTATATCAGATCTCTGGAAGTTGAGAAATACTTTATAATGTTTCCTGCCCTCTACATCCCCCCTATAGTGCATAGGTGTATTCATGTGTATGTATAATTTAATCATGTTTTATTCACTTTCATAGCTTAAAGTTCTTTCTTTTGCTATGGAGTTATTTCTTAGGGCACCCATGTTGTTTAAATACTTGTCTGCATTGATTAGGTTCCAAAAGCATTTGCTGCAAGTCTCTTGGATTATATAGGCTCGCAGGCCCAATACTTGCACACATTCATGGCCATCACACACGCGGCAAAAGTGGAGTCAGAGCAACATGGAGATCGCTTACCGAGAGTAGAAATGGCTTTGGAGGCTCTGAGAAATGTCATAAAATACAATCCAGGTATGTGACTACACCTTTGATCAATAAGACTCGTATAATACAGGAGCCCTAAAAATTCCAATAATCAATTTTATCAGGGAAACTCAGGGAAAATTATACTTGGTTATAATGTATTAATATAACATTACAGGGAATTGACCCTGTAATAGTTTTACAATAAAAGTTAAGCTGGGGAGAGAGGTCAAGGCACTATGTTTAGAAAAATTCATGTCTTTATGAGAACATGTGTCTAAATGAGTTGAAAAGGCAGAATAGTTTGATAGTATAAAATTTCACATTGATGTCTTAAGTTAACATATCAAGTATAAGTGCTTGAATTAGATTTATTTAATAATAAGTGATCTAATTTTTGCCTCCTTTCTGGTCCCTAACCAGTGCCATGTGCATATGGGCACTGATGTTTTTCAAAAATTGCCTGAAGTTTTTGGTGTATAAAAATTGAAATAAAGATATGAGAGTTCCTACTCTTAATCATCTTTAAGAGGACATTTCCAAAAACATTACTCTAGCCTGACTCCAGGGAGATGGATGAGTGAAAATGTAACAGCTTCTCTCAACTCTAACTTAGATAATAAATATAGAACATAAACCTAAAATGATACAAATTCAATTTAAATTACTCGATCTTTTAAAATAACATTGAACATTACCTTTCAAGTACATTTTTACTCTTCTTAGTATGTATTAAAGTACTGTTAAAATTCTGACTTTTGGGTTATTGCCAAAAAGTTATTTAAATAAAATAACAGTAATTAAATATTGGGAAAATTACGCATTTACAAGATGTACATTGGGATGTTATTAAAGACAGTGTTATAAAATCTGAAGAAAACTTGTCTTTTATTTGGAGTTGTCAAAGTGTCGAATATTACTAGTGGTATGTTAGGTACAAAGAAATTGTAGCAGAGCAGACTATTGATTTGGAACTTGTAAAGAGTTGAAGAAAGGCCTGTGCAGAAATCCTTCTGATAATATCCATCAAGTTTATTAGAATTAACTCTCTCGTAATTTAGAAGTATGGTTTGTGTGTCATTGATGTATTTGACAGTTATTCCCTATCAATAAGTGGTTTGAAAATGAATTTAAAAGCAACATATTTATAGAATATTCTCAGACTCTTTAAGTTGAAGGAGTCTTACTGAGCTATCTTAAGAATCCTCAAAAGATAAGAAATTACACTGTATGTTTTACTACCATATAGAAGAGGAAGAATATGCTGAACAAAACGGAAGTAAATATATGGGATTAGGATTTGAGGTGGGTAGGAATGGAAATACCATTTCATTTTATGTATTTTCACAAGGAGTGCTTTGTATATTCATACCAGTTTGTTTGTATTATAGTTAAGTGGCAGAGTTCTAACCTAGTCTTATTTAAAAGCCAAATCATGTCAGAGTCTCCCAGAATATAATTAGGTTGAGGGGGGTAACCCTAAGGTCTAGAGGTAGAGTGAAATTACTACCTTACACTTTAGATTTTTGAGCTATATTTGGATTGTTTATTTGATAAAGGTCTTAGCCTGAGGGTTAGGGGTGGGGATGGGAATGAAAACAAAGTAAACCTAAAAAGCTCTAACACCTTACATTTTGCCTTTTAAGACTTATTGTTCCTTAGAGGTCCTCCACTTACTTCATGTCACAGATGTTTAGAACCAGTTATCAGAGACTTAAAATTGACAGTAAACAACAGTGTATATCGGTTTTCTGAAGTTAAATAATTTCAAACATCTCCTGGAAGTAAACCATTTTATTCTTATTCTCTAGGTTCTGAGAGTGAATGCATTGGGCACTTTAAGTTGATATTTTCTCTTCTCCGAGTTCATGGAGCTGGTCAAGTGCAGCAGTTGGCTTTAGAGGTAAAAGCGTTTTGTACTAAAGCGTGTTGCCTTTCCTACCACTTACCATGTGTAATTTGAGTCTCTATCAGTCATTGTCTGAAGTTGAAGTGTGCTTTTTTGTTGCATCATTTTGCCTATTAAGACACATCAATATTTTTTGAAATTTGAATTAACATGCTCAATTTGAAGAGTGAATATTGCACAATTGCACAATGTCGTTCTAAGTGGTTCTCTTTCTGTTATGCGTTAGGGCTTGGGATAGTGTTGTACAGTGTCAGGTATGAGTTAAGAATGGGCTTTACTGGGGAAGCTTAGAAGCCACACATCAGCAAGAAGATGATAGAGGGTTTCTGATTGCTGTGTTCCTATGGAGAGACATACTGAGGCCATATCTGTTGGCTACATACTGTGGGTTTGCATTTCAGAGGAGTGATCCTTGTCCCTCCCCCGCAGTTGAAACTCCCTTCTTACAAATCTAGTACAAGAGCTACCTTTTCTGTGAGGGTTACAGACAGACACCTGGGTATGCTGCTGTTATAGGAGTTGCCTAAAAAGGCCAACTGCCAGAACCCATGGGTCTTAAGAGTCCAAGAGAAGTTGGAGTCCCCTTGTTCAGGATATTGAAGCCACTGGTCCCATAGGATGCTGTTTAGATGTAGCCTTTTCTTCTGAGAGAAGCAAGAAGTCCCTAGTCACAAGTAGTTCTTTGCCCAGGCAACCGAGACTTCCCAGGATTATTTCTGAGATCTTGCTCTTTGTGACACACAGTTTATTGCAAAGAACACCAAATGCAACCCTGCAGTAACAGGTATATAGATGGTTTATGAATAATTTGTGTAACATGTTCTTAGATAACATTTTGGCTTAAAACAGATTTTTAATAGAATAAAAAAACTTTAAATTGGTCAAAGAGCTTAACAAGCAAGTTATTTAAATCGAAAAACATGTTTTCCTACTTAATTCCTTCAAGCATCTTGTAACTTTTTAAATAAACGTCATTAAATGTAGGATATGTTGCACTGAGACGCTGACCAATGATGTTTAGATGTATACTCTCAAAGATGTGAGTGGTCATCCTTTCTGAAAGAAAAACATACCTATTTCTTTATAATAGAAACATAACCCCAATCTATTGTGCAGGGTACTGAAGACATTTGCTTTTTTCCTCTAAAAGTAAGAGTCCCAGTAGTGAGAATCATTATTTTCCTAATCACCAGCCCCTATCCAAACTCTGTAATTGGAAAACACTATAGTATATACCTTAGTTCTGGAGCATGTATGGGTATAGGATTGAAGGCTTCTTAGAAACCTCAAGGTATTATTTCCAAAGAGATTAATAAAGGCAATCTTTTAAAATTAAACTCTTATCTAAAAACTAAATGTTTCATCCCCCAAACATTTGTCTCACTTGTACAGTCTATATGACCTAATTTGATTTAGGTTCAAAATTATTTCTGAAACTTTTACTATCCTGTTGATTAATTTTCAGGTTGTGAATATAGTGACATCTAACCAAGACTGTGTCAACAATATTGCTGAATCAATGGTTTTGTCCAGTTTATTGGCTCTTCTACATTCATTGCCATCAAGTATGTATACAGATGGAATTTTGGAAACCACAGCAAGATTAGCCCATGGAAAGGAGTTGTTGCATAGTTGATACAAAACCTCAAACAAATGTCATCTATGTTTAGTTTTAAAGTGTTATTTACACTAGATTTGTCTTCCTAATAATGTTTTACATACGTTACTGTCTTGCATTTCCTATGTCAAAAGTTGAAAGTTGGGGGTGAGAGAGGTCCAAAACCAAAGGAAAATAACCTGGGATTTTCAGTTTGTTGAGATCTACACATGGGTAATTGAGAATTAACTAATATTTCATGGTTTACTAAACATAAGTAATCTTGGATGATAGAAAACATGCTTAAGATACAGATGGCCTTGTATTCAGCTTAGTGTTCAAATCTGTGTACTTTGTCTTTTGCTGATTTGATATTAATAAGATAAAATACCAAGGTGGTTTAAAAAATATATCAACCTTATTTCCTGAACACAGCCTGCCCTAATCTATATAATTACCTAGTCTAATAGTTTATAGTTGTGCTAAAACCAACCCTGAGATTGCTTTTCAAAGGCAGGAATATTGAGTTTGTAGGCAATTACAATATAACTTCAAACTCAGCAATAACCAGAATACATTGCTTAGTTGGCTTTGCCAATCCCTTTGAAGTCACATTAATCTAGAATTCATGTCTGTCCACCTCCTTAAGAGAAGGAACCGTGTCGTTCATCTTATATACCAGTGGCTTGCTTATGTTTGGTGTTTATGTTTGGTAAATTGAGTTGAATTTCCATGGAAATTTTTTTTTTTCAATACATGATATGCTTGAAACAGGTCTTTAAAATGGCAGCTTTGTAAAGTCATTTGCAGATTGTTTTTATCATACCTGCAACCTTAGTTGGTTTTTCTTTTTTCTTGGTTTTCAGTAGCTTTGTGAGACTTCAAACAATGTAAAACTAAACTGGTTGGTGAAGTAAAGGATGTTATGGAACTCATAATTTTTAAAAGTGTAACTTTATACTTATATAGTCCAGTCAATATTTTAGTCTTACAGGGAAAATAGCTGGCATCCAGATATTTTAGCCTACTCTCTATCATTAAGACTTCAGACTAAATTATCTTACACTGTTTGCTAAGGTACATTGTTACTGTTCTTGTTGTTTTCATCTCAGCCTAATACTTTGCAGCCTCTACCTTATTTGCCAACACTTTATTCCTTTGGCAACCTGTCTGTCATTCCCATTTGACTCTAGAAGAGTTAAGTCCAGTAACCTATACTTGCATATAATATGGTAGTGACTGGGTGAGAGGCACACAGGCTTTGTCCAGAAGGATGCAATTATGTCTTAGAATGGAACCCGGTCTTACAACTGCTACTTCCTACTTTTTCCCTCAAGACAGTAGCACCAGGTAAAAATCTTAGATGCCTGATTAGAGTGTCCTCTGGGTGTCAGGAAATCAGATTTTTGGATGTGCAGTGCACAATGAGGTAGGAAGACAGGGTTTTATAGTGGTTATGAATATGGACTTTGGAGGCAGACCTGCATACAAAACTCAACTATACCACTTATTAGCTGTGAGACCTTGGGCCGGTTAAACTGGGCATCAGCTTCCTCACTCATAACATGGCCATGAAAATACCTGTCTCACTGGTTATTATGAGGATTAAATATGACATCCTGTGTAGAACATCTAGTTAAGTGCCTGGCACAGAGCTGGTGCCAAGTAAATATAAGCTAACCTGATGATGCATTCCTTGAAATGTCTTTTACTCTGCAGGTCGTCAGCTTGTTCTGGAAACTCTTTATGCTTTGACATCGAGTACAAAAATAATCAAAGAAGCAATGGCAAAGGGTAATGTATAGAGTGCTTTCTTAGCTAGTCATGTGCAATATAATGAAGCTTATTTTGAGCTGCATTTTACAGCCTGATAAACTAGAAGAATGCTTTGGAATGTTTACAGTTTTTAAAAACTACATTCAGTTGAAATATGGTTGAAAATGAATTCTGATTAGAAAAGTCAAATTCTTTATAAGCACTAATTATCTTTTTCCTTCATAGGTGCTTTGATCTATTTACTGGATATGTTCTGCAATTCAACACATCCACAGGTTCGAGCCCAAACAGCAGAACTTTTTGCCAAAATGACAGCAGATAAACTGATAGGTCCAAAGGTAGGCACAAAATAAGTTCTTGAAAGGAAATTAATTATTAAAGCATTGTTACTTTGATACTGATTTCAAGAAGTTTACTGAAATCTGAGATGGTGAGGATAAGGAAATGAGGTGATGTGAAAGTTGGAAAATTCACATTCCGGGAATTGTTCCTATGTATTACTGTTTGAGAAAACTAGAGTCAGGGCAGGCTGTACTGGAATTGAAAAGTCTTAAGAGAATGTTTGGATTAAGATACACTGTTCATCTCCCTCGAAGAGGGAACAAAAAGTATATCAAGACTATGACAGAAGATAGGTTAGACTTTCACACTACAAGGATTGGCCTGTGGAAATAACTAGTGAAGGAGATGGTGGTTTGTGTATTTTACATTCCACACCTGAATTATTAAGGACATGCCACCCTCAGCAGTGAATTCATATAGGGGCATGAGTGTAACAACACTTCTGGCTTCCAACTCTGCAGGGAGATCTTTTATTCCAAATCTGGAGATAACCGGATGATCTCTGGATCCATGGTCCAGTTTGGAGAGCAGGATACCTGTTAAAACAATAGTTCTGAATAGAATTTCATTCAGGTGCAAGTGGTATCAATGTCCCTTTATTTTGTTACTAAGTCAGTTTCACAAGTAGTACTCACTGAAGAGTCCTCTGTGCCTGCCCACAAAGCAGCCCCTTAGTCATAGGGAGAACATGAAATAAAGGCTCAGGAGTCCTACTTTCAGAGTTTGATTCAGTAGATCTAGGGTGGGGCCCAGGAGTCTCCATTCTTAACATGCTTCCAAAGTGATTCTTTTGAAGCCTATTCGGACTGATATTTAGGGATCATTATTCAAGCAAGTCCACAAAGGCACTTTGGGTAAGGAGGAGGCTAAGATCCCCTACCTCTATCTAAAGCCAGGGTGGCTTCCTTTGTACACATTGTGCCTCCATGTAAAGTTCAGTTTGAAAAAAAAAGTCCGAGGCTAATTAAACACTTTTTACATTAATAAAACAAATTGGATTCAGTTGTTTTCTTGCTCGATCTCTCAGTCTAGGTATTGAGAATCTGTCATAGGACCTGAAACAGTTTTACTTTAGTAATAAGTTAATAGTCTTCTGCAGGGTTGATGAGACAAGCAAGATTACATTTGGAAGCCTACAGGAGGGTCTATAAAATAGTTAATATTGAATTTCCTTAAAGCTAGAGCTAGGTAGCACATAACTGTAATATCTAATATTAGTTATTTTTTCTTTATTAATTTTTTTTATTTATTATTATACTTTAAGTTTTAGGATACATGTGCACAACGTGCAGGTTTGTTACATATGTATACATGTGCCATGTTGGCGTGCTGCACCCATTAACTCGTCAATAGTGTTTTAGACGCTTAAGTATGTACTGGAATTGACTGAGCTCTTTGGTTATATTTCTGACCTTTGAAATACGTGAGGGACAAATTTTATCAAGCTGACTGTTTTTACACTTAAACTTTCTGTATAGACAAAACACAAGTATCAACACCTTAATTGCAAGAGATTCTAGAACCGGGGTCGGTAAATTTTTTTGTTTTTGAGACAAGGTCTGGCTCTGTTGCCCAGGCTGAAAGTGCAGTGGTGCAATCTTAGCTCACTGCAGCCTCTGTCTCCCAGACTCAAGCCATCCTCCCATCTCAGCCTCCCAAGTAGCTGGCACTACAGGCACGCACCACCACACCTGGCTAATTTTTGTATTTTTTTGTAGAGGTGGAAAGGTTTGGCCATGTTGCCCAGGCTGGTCTCAAACTCCTGAGCTCATGTGATCCACCCGCCTTGGCCTCCAAAAGTGCTGGAATTGCAGGGTGAGCCAGTGTGTCTGGCCAAATTTTTTTTTCCTTTTTGGTAACAGTTTTCTTGAGATATTAATATCATTGACATACCATACAGTTCACACATATCTAGTGTACAATTCAGTGGTTTTTAGTATATTCACAGATTGAGCGATCATAATCAATTTTAGGTTTGACTTTCATCAACCCAAAAAGAAACCCTATTTCTATTAGCAGTCACTGTCCATTCTTCCTTTCCCCTAGCACCTGACAACCACTGATCTATTTCCTTCTGGATAGATTTGCCGAATGCTGGGCATTGTATATAAATGGAATCATACTATGTATGGTCTTTTGTGACTGGCTTCCGTTGTTTTCATCTATGTTGTAGCAAGTGTTAGTAAATTTATTTTTATTGCCAAATAGTATTCTGTGTTTTGGTATCCATTTATCTCAATGGACACATGGATTGTTTCTATTTTTTGGCTCTGCTAAATTACACTACTGTGAACATTTGTGTACAGGTTTTTGTGTGGACATGTGTTTTTGTTAGGAGTGAAATTTCTGGGTCATATGGTAACATTATGTTAAACCTTTTGAGGAATTGTCAGATTGTTTTCCAAAGTAGCTCTACCATTTTCCATTCCCCTAGCAATGTATTTATCATCTTCTTCTCTAACGCTTGTTATATCTTTTATTACAACCATCCTAGTAGGTATGATGTGTTACATCATGGTTTCGATCTGCATTTCCCTGGTGGCTAATGTTTTCATGTGCTTATTGGCCATTTGTACAACTTTTTAAGAGAAATGTTTATTTACATCCTTCACTAATTTTTAAATTGAGATTATTTATATTTTTATTATTGAGTTGTAATTGTTATGTTTTAGATACTAGTCCCTTATTATAGGTATGATTTTCAAGTATTTTTTCACATTTTCCTGATTGTTTCTCCACTTTCTTGGTGGTGCCCTTTGAAACACAAAAATTTTTAATTTTGAGGAGATCCAGTTTATTTTTTGTTTGGCTTGTTCTTTTTATGTCATATCTAAGAAACCATTGCCTAATCCAAGGTTACAAAGATTTATGGCTATGTTTTCTCCTCATTTTTATAGTATTAGCTCTTAGGTTTATGTTTTTGATCCATTTGAGTTAATTTTTATCCATGGTGTGAGATAGGGGTGGGCCAGTAAACTTTCTCTATGAAGGGCTTCACGCTGCTGATGAAGACATACCCAACACTGGGCAATTTACAAAAGAAAGAGGTTTATTGGACTTACATCTCCATGTGGCTGGGGAGGCCTCACAATCATGGTGGAAGGTGAAAGCCATGTCTCAAATGGCAGCAGATGCAAGAGGAGAGACTGTGCAGGGAAATCTCCCTTTTTAAAACCATCAGATCCCTTGAGACTTACTATCACGAGAACAGAATAGCACGAGAAAGACCTGCCCCTGTGATTCAGTTACCTCCCACCGCGTCCCTCCCACAACATGTGGAAATTCAAGATGACATTTGGGTGGTGACACAGCCAAACCATATCAAAGGACCATATAGTCAATATTCTATCCTTTGTGGGGCATGTGATCTCTGTTACAAATATTGAGCTCTTCTGTTGTGACAGGAAAATAGCCATGGACAGTAAATGAACAAATGGATGTGGCTGTGTTCAAACAAAACTTTATATACGAAAATAGATGGCAGGCCAGATGTGACCCCTTTTTTGCCAGCCCCTGTTCTAGGATAGCTGAGTAACCTGAACATAACTGGAGATTTATGGTCATGGTATTTGCCTTATGTAGGTTTTTTGCTCAAATGTTTAATAGTATACACACCAGTGAGTAATAAACTTATGTAGTTCTTAGCATTTGAAATGCTTTAAACATCCTGGTAAACTTTGCTTTAATACTGCTTTTTACAGATGATAGACTTGGGTCATTCATTAAATTGAATTAAATTAGAATACTAAACAAGCATTCTCAGAAATCCGATAGGAAGAGACTTTTGATTTTGTACAGCTGGTCAAATAATGTGCCTTTTTTAAAAGTATCAGATGACAGTAGGTTAGATTAAATAAATTTAGAAATGAAAGGACTCATGTTAAGACAGTTATCCTAAATACAATTAAAGTTTGCTTTCATATCAATTTGATAAGACTCATAAATATAGCTCTTAAATAAGACATTTGAAATTCACCCAACTGGTCAATAGATGATTTCTGTAGCAGTCACACACATACAGCTTATTACAAGTATATAGTTCACTTCTAAAAAAGGTTATTACTTAAAATTTAGTTTACTTGCCATAAAAATTTCAATTTTTGTTTCAAGCTGCAAAATATTTTAAAATAGGTTAGTTATTAGGAGTTCTTTTAAATACTAGTCTATAATGAAATCTGTTAAGACATATCAGATATTTCTGCCCTAAAATTTATGTAGAATGATTACAACAGTGATTCTTATGAGACAGCTAAGTATGTTTCAGAAGACAATTTTGTTAAAAACCTTAAACACAACAGTCATGTACAGTGACTCATGCCTGTAATCCCAGCTATTCAGGAGGCTGAGGCAGGAGGATTGCTTAAGGCCAGGAGTTCAAGACCAACCTGGGTGAGGTAGAGAGACCCCATCTCTTAAAAAGAAAAACAAAAAAAAAAGGTTAGAAGTTAGCCAAGCATGGTAGTGCACCTGTAATCTTAGCTACTCAGGAGGTTAAGGAGGGAGGATTACTTAAGCCCAGGAGTTCGAGGTTGCAGAGTGAGACCCTGTCCAAAAAAACAATAAGCAGTTGTATTAAAGGTGATGTAATTGGCCTGATATAGCAAGATGGCAGCATAACGTTCTGAGCAAAACTCTTGCTTTATGAATCACAGATCACTGACTTAATGAGTCTGGGTAACTTGTCTGTCTTTAGCTCCACAGTGAAAAAATTGAAATAAATGGCCTTTAAATCCCGCTCTAACTTTTAGGTGCTTCTTTGACATGTAATTTCTCTGGTCTTTGTGAGAATGAGCTACTAGGGGCAGATATACCACAGTGAGCAGGTCAAGCATTGTTCTTACACTCAGGGAGCTCATGACCAAGAAGAAGGACATACTTAATCACTTTGTCTACCTTCTCTTGTCCTCTGTAGAGTTTAATTATATTTCAGCACAATACTCTCATCATATTTAGGGAATATAGGAAGAAATAAGCCTGTGAAACCTCTTGTTGAGTTTACCTTGATGGTATTATTTAATATATAACAAATGCCCTTCCATGGGAACCCCAGGAGAAATTGCTTTTTTCCTCCAGAAACAGTTGGGTGTCTCTGAAGCAACTGACATGATTTTATTTTGTGGGTGTTCTGTTATGTAATTGAAATTTAGTTCATTGGCTGCTAGGAAATTCAGAGCTAAATTTGTAGTATATCTCTGGCAGTTATGGAGGTTTTATGTTTCTTTCGTGTGCTGACTTCATATTAGTCTTCATTTATTCAAGTATTTAAGCATCTGTTATGTGCCAGGGGCTGAGAATACAAGCAATGAGTAAGAAAGATTGGGCCTAGAGGGTTTCCGTAAGATAAGATTTGAGCCCAGAATTTGACACGGAGAAGAGATAAACGTGACGATCTGAAGGAAAAACACTTTCCCAACCCTCATTTTTCCCTTTGCCCCATGCCTCACATGAATTTTCATTTTGTCTGTATGTATGTGCTAGATGTATTTTTTAAAAGCTGCTTTTTAAATCCTTTCTGGAAAAAGACACAGTGTAACATAAAACATGCAGCAAAATAAATGCACTAGAAAATACTTGTAAGACAGAGGTAGAATGAGAAAAATTAGTTTGTGTGGGCAGGGGCTATAAAAGAGAGTTGGAAGGGACAAGCCTGGCTAAGGGCATTCTGCATATTGTAAGGCAAGACCTATGAGGTGTGCTCTGGGAACTTTACCATACTAGTGATACGGAGGCAGGGGGTGAAAATGAAACTTTTTTGGTCACCATGGCAGAACAGAGAAAATGAAACTTGATAGGTAAGTAGGTTCAGGTCGTACTGAGTCTTATTTAAAGGTACCTTTGCATAAACCGAGGATTATCTTTTTCACTCCAGAACTTTTAGGTAATGGTTATGGCCCACATAAGTCATAACACAAATTATGTTGATATTCTATCTTATTAGCAAAATACAAACAAAATATTGAGGTGTTTCCAATAGGTGTCTTTTTCATTCTCAAACTTCCTCGTATAGGTTCGAATTACGTTAATGAAATTTCTACCAAGCGTTTTCATGGATGCTATGAGAGACAATCCTGAAGCTGCTGTACATATTTTTGAAGGAACTCATGAAAATCCTGAGTTAATTTGGAATGATAATTCCAGAGATAAAGTGTCCACAACAGTTAGGGAAATGATGCTAGAGTAAGTAAAAACAAAGGTAATAATTTATAGCCTTTAAATAAAATCACTGGGAAGGGCAAACATTTCTTACTGTGCCCATCACCTCTAAAACTTATGCTAAAGGTTAATGAAAATGTATTTGTGACTGAAGTTTGGTATCCATCCCTTTTTTTCCCCAAGGCACTTTAAAAATCAGCAGGACAACCCTGAGGCAAACTGGAAGGTAAAATATACTTTTATTTTACATCTTATTTTCTGTTGATTTAGTTGTTTTCACTTTCTACTGAGTCAGTTTAATGCCGACCTATAACTACTTTGTCATCAAGACTCTTGGGTATTCCCCTGGAAAATAAGGCTTCAAACATAAAAATTGGAATACTTACTTTCGAAGTTAGTAAGGGCACCCTTTCTGAACTTTATTAAGAAAAAATAAAACTCATAATTTGATTATATTATGGCTGTTTGTGGACTGGTTAACATTATAAACAATTCTTTAATATGGTGTGCATTTCTAGCTTCAAGATTATTAAGTGACTTGACTGTGGTTCTTTCTCTATTTAAAGTTGCCTGAAGATTTTGCTGTGGTGTTTGGAGAAGCAGAGGGTGAACTTGCTGTTGGAGGAGTCTTCTTGAGGATCTTTATTGCACAACCAGCCTGGGTTCTAAGAAAGCCTAGAGAATTTCTTATTGCCCTGTTAGAAAAATTAACTGAGCTCCTAGAGAAGAACAATCCTCATGTAAGCTTCAGTCAAAAGCAAAACATTTCAAAGACTTGGCTAACTAGACTGATGGTGTTTCTCTTACAACCTTATTCACAAAGACCATGAATTAGGAATTGGCCAGCTCTTTCAATATAGCAGCCACATTTAAATTCACATATGCCCCTCGATCATTTTTTTGCCATGTTCAAAAGTGAAGCTCTTTAGTATGTTTATGAACCAAAGTTATAGAGATATCTATATTGAGAGGATGCTATTTCTAACAGTTACAGAAGCCTGAAAAGAAGGTTTTTACTGTCCATCTCTAATGAATATGTAATTTTAAGGAGAAACCTGTGTGTTCGGTGTTCCTCTGAGAGTGTGTTCTGTTTGGGCATGTGCTGCACTCTACTTTGTGTATATGGCAGGGATAACCCTAGTCAAAGAAATTGACAGAAGAGTAGTAACTATGTGGTTGAATCCTGTATCTGTGGCTGAGGCTGCCAGGAAAGCAGGAGTGAGTGAAAAGGTAACTTTGGTCTTGGGTTTGGCAAGCCAAATACCGTGATAGTATATAAGATTTTGTTTTTCAAAGTCTTTTTTGTTTTCAGAAGGTTTAAGATTTTGTTGAGATTGAAGACAGTTGACCTACATGATTGTTGTTTAAACAGGCTGGCTACAGAATAAGGTGATTAAGAGCCTGAGTGGTGTTATTTGATGGTTCCAGCCATACCACTGACCAGGTCTGTGACCTTGGGCAGTACCTCATGACTCTGCCTCAGTTGCTGCATTTATAGAATAGTCATAGCAGCTGCCTCTGAGGCAGAGGTTCTGATGAGTTAATACATATATAGAATGCTTAACATAATGTCTGGCACATTTCAAGTGCTTAGAAATTAGTTACTATCATTAGCTTAGTAAAACATATTTTTAAAACATGATTAGCTTGCTGAGTATTTACCAGTGCTACTTTCCATAGTCATATTCCTCCAATAGGATTTCTACTACATACATAGTTTGCTTGGAAAATGCAGTCCTCAAAAGCTAAAACTTAGGGAAAGCACATAGCAGTTTCCTCCTATATCACCTTTCTTTTTGGACACATTCCAATTTTAATGTTAATTTAAGATGCATTTTATTATGTTTCTGGATGTGTGCATCTAGTGGTATAAGCTGAAGGTCTTTCCAATCCGTTATCCACAATAGAAAGTGCTTTGTGGGAGCCAGACATGTTAAATAGTAGGATTTTTAATGAAACTGGGAAAAACATTTCACTAGTTCTGCATTCTTCTGGATTATTGTTCTGACACTAACATACCTGCAACATGGTCTAAAAATTTCTAGTAATATCATTTGGGACATGATCTCTTAAACCTGCAATAGAGGCTGGGCGCGGTGGCTCACGCCTGTAATACCAGCACTTTGGGAGGCCAAGGCGGGCGGATCACCTGAGGTCAGGAGTTCGAGACCAGCCTCAACATGGAGAAACCCCGTCTCTACTAAAAAAAATACAAAATTAGCCAGGCGTGGTGGTGCATGCCTGTAATCCCAGCTACTTGGGAGGCTGAGGCAGGAGAATTGCTTGAACCTGGGAGGCAGAGGTTGTGGTGAGCCGAGATCGCGCCATTGCACTCCAGCCTGGGCAACAAGAGCGAAACTCCGTCTCAAAAAAAACCTGCAATAGAAATTGGGTATACCTAACCGAGTAAAATCCTGCTTAGATTAAAATAGCATATTCTTAAAGTCCTTTAGATTCATGCCTTTTATGAAAGAAAATGGGAAGTTCGTTGTTCTCTTAGGATTAGTGAATCTGTTTTCAAGTATCAGCACTTAGAACTTTTGAATCCCTAGTTTTGAACACCAAATACATTACCTTGGATATTTAGGGCTGTATGAGTATTTTATAGTTGATTTATTTTTGTTTTACACCTGCAGGGAGAAACTCTGGAAACCTTGACAATGGCAACAGTGTGTCTCTTCAGCGCACAACCTCAGCTGGCAGATCAGGTCCCGCCATTGGGCCATCTTCCCAAAGTTATCCAGGCAATGAATCATAGGAACAATGCCATTCCTAAGAGTGCCATTCGGGTTATCCATGCCTTGTCTGAAAATGAGGTATTGATGAATACACTTAGTAGTTTATAAGCTCCAGAATTTATCTATGCTCCCTTCTTGACGGATATAAGTTGTAGTATTATATAAATCCCCTTTCTGCCATGTGTCTTTTTGCATACGAACCACATGGTATTTTATTAGTTCTGGGTTTATCAAAACTGGTATTTATCAAATCAGTTTTGATAAATACCAGTTTAGGTGATATAATTAATAGATTAAATTTGGTTCAATTCATTGTTAAACTGAAAGTAAGGGATTCTTTTTTTACTTATTTACTTATTTTGTTATGGTATTTACTATGTTATATAAATATTGCCAGTCTACAAGTAACCTTCTCTTTTGGGCACTTAGCTGTGTGTTCGAGCCATGGCATCTTTAGAGACCATTGGCCCACTGATGAATGGAATGAAAAAGCGAGCAGATACTGTTGGTCTAGCCTGTGAAGCAATTAATCGAATGTTTCAGAAGGAGCAGAGTGAATTAGTAGCACAAGTAAGTGACTTTCTAGATTTAGCACTATTTTAGGAAAGCAAACATACCAAGTAGATTTTTACCTATTTGGTACTGATTTGGTTTCCTTGACTTAAGGTTGGTGAGAGTTAACTTGTGAGTTTGTGTATAAACAATTTTATATTTTATATATACAAACACATACAGTAGTGTGTATAATACGTGTGTATATGTGTATGTATATATACATGGATGTTTGTGTATATATACACACACACAAAAATGGGGCCAGCTGCCAACAGTCTTACCAACTTGAGAGTACTTTTATGGTGTATAAAATTTACATTTTGGCTATCCATTGTGCAATTAGCTTAGTAGCTTGTTTAGCTTGATTTGTAAAATGTGCTTCATCCTCTTTGGAAAAATTCATTCGTTTATTTATTCCTTTGTTTCTTAAGTCATGTTTAAGAAACATGCCAAGATACTGCCTTTTTCAAAGAGACTATCCACCTAATGAAAACTGGACTTGGTGGATATCCATGTAGACAGATGTTGATGGAACAAAAAAGATGCAATAAATTTAAAAACTTACAAAAGCGATCTTTCTAAAATGTAACTCAAAGAACAAATACCACATGATCTGACTTGTAAGTGGAGTCTAAAACAATCAAACTTATGAAGCAGAGAGTAGAATAGTGATTACTAGAGGCTGGGGTTGGGGAGAATGGGAAAATGCTGGTCAAAAAGTACAGTTTCTGTTAGGAAGAATAAGGCTTTTAAGATCTATTGTGCATTATGTTGACTATAGCTAATAATACATTGTATATTTCAAAATTGGTAAGAGTAAATTTTAAATGTTTCCACAAAAAAATAAGTATTTGTAATGGTAGATATGCTAATTAGCTTGATTTATTCTGCATTGTATGCATGTGTCATAACATCACTTTATTTCCCATAAATACATACAATAAAAAATAATAAAGTATTTAAATAGAATTCTGAAATATAACTGAGCCATTCTTCATCTTAAAAACCATTCAGTGGTTTCTCATTACCTGCCAGATGACTAAGTGACATCTGGTATCCTTAGCCAGAATACAAGGCCCTGCATCTTTATTATCTGGGCTTCCCCTTCTCCCAGCCCCTCAGCCTTACCCACTGGACCCTCATTGAGGCAAGTAGAGCTGTTGGGTACATCTCAAGGAGATACTGGATGCTCTAAGGTTCAGACTTATGATTGGCTTGAGGAGTTTGATGTGTAGGAAAGAACATGAGCTGGTACTACCACTTGTTGGCTCTCTGACCTCAGACATGATATTTAACCTTAAAATGCTCAGATTTCTCATCTGTAAAATAAGGTTGTGACTATCTCACAAGGTTGTTATGAGAACAGTACCTGAAAAAAGAGGTGCATTCACTAAATGTCTTTTATTTCTTCCTATTCCCTCTGAGTTTCAAAATGGATAGTGAAAATTGTGACATTAGATTATTATTCAGCTTTTATTAGGCTGATATGAAATGTACGATGACCACAAAGATTGATGTTTGAAGAAAATATGAAAAAATACTAATGTATTTCAGAGATTGTTGCCTATTAATACAGTGTTACTAGGGCAGGCAGCCCAGTATAGGGGCTAAAAGCTCAGGTTCTATGTTTTCTGGCTCCAGATACATATTTTAATACTGCCCAGCTCTGTGATTATGAACATACTGTTTTACCCTCTGTGCATTAATTGAATAAAATAATTGATGTATAGCATTTAGAATGGTTAATGGACAGAATAAAATCTCATTAAATAAAAATGTCATTAGATACTTAAGCCTGTGTATGGCATTAAAATACGGTGCAACAGGCTGCCTTCCAGGTAGGTCCTGGGGGTAAAATTATTTCTTCAGTGGATGATTTGCATTTTTTCTGTGTGTTTATATATGCTTAATATTTCTTCTAGGCCCTGAAAGCAGATTTGGTTCCATACCTCTTAAAATTACTCGAAGGCATTGGCCTTGAAAACCTGGACAGCCCAGCAGCCACTAAGGCTCAGATTGTTAAAGCTCTCAAGGCAATGACTCGAAGTTTGCAGTATGGAGAACAGGTGAGTCTGCATAGAGTCAACTTTTGATATTCTAAAAGCCAGGGTCTTGGCCATGGATGGTCCACGTACCTGTGTTCAAGTTCCACTTACAGATATGGTTCTGTTGGTTGTAACTGGAGAAGATCCAGAGCCCAAGGATGGACTTGCATACCTGCCTCATAACTGATGAAAAAGCATAAACCATATACTCAATATTCAGGAGAATTCTTCTGGATAGTGATGGCATGTTGTACATTTCAGGAAGAAAAATGCTGGAAATCTTTAGCATGGAATATGCAGCATTTAGTGCTGCTTAAGATTAACTTTCAGCTCTAGGAGTTATTCATGGGTAGTGATAACCAAATTCATTAACCATCCCATAATGCTATTTTAAAAGATGTAGAACATCATTTTTGTTTTCATTTCCTTTCTTGCTGGTGCTTAAAAAGTGTTGGTTTTTTTTTTTCTTTGGTCGTGACTTTGTTTTTCCTATGTGTGTTAATGTATTTCAGCTGCACGTATTTGCTGACTTCAGGCCTGTTCAGTAATTTAATTTTCCTCATTGGTTTTATTTTTATTATTTCCTCTAAGGAGTTCCTCATTCAGTGTACTATATAGCCCCATCTACTAATGCTCATTTTTTTTTAATTGACGTGAAATTTACATAGCATAAAATTAACCATTTTATGGTGAATAGTTAAGTGGCATTTAGGACATTAACAGTGTTGTACAAACACCACCGTATCTAGTTCCAAAACATTTTCATCACCTCTGTACCCATTCAGCAGCTACTCTCCCTTTCTTCCTTCCCCCAACCTTTGGCACCCACCAATCTGTTTTCTGTCTCTGGATTTACCTCTTCTGCGTATTTCATATAAATATAATCATACATATGTGACCCTTTGTGTCTATCTTGTCATTTAGCATGTTTTTAAGCATCATCCATGTTACCAATGCTTCATTTTTATGTCTAAATATGTCATTGTACGTAAATGCTCCAATTTGTTTATCCATTCATCTATTGATGGACATTTGGGTTATTTCCCCTACTAATGTTCCATAGGTTTTAATTGACTTCAGCTACAGCTTCCCGGTAATGAATTTACTGGATTTGTATGTTTCAAGTAAAGAAACATTTTTCATACCATTGTCATTCTATCAATATGATCATTTAAATGATTTAAAATGATATTAGGCTGGGCGCGGTGGCTCACGCCTGTAATCCCAGCACTTTGGGAGGCCGAGGCGGGTGGATCACGAGGTCAGGAGATCAAGACCATCTTGGCTAACACGGTGAAACCCCGTCTCTACTAAAAATACAAAAAATTAGCCAGGCGTGGTGGCAGGCGCCTGTAGTCCCATCTACTCGGGAGGCTGAGGCAGGAGAATGGCGGGAACCCAGGAGGCGGAGCTTGCAGTAAGCCGAGATAGCGCCACTGCAGTCCAGCCTGGGTGAAAGAGCGAGACTCTGTCTCAAAAAAAAAAAAAAAAAGAGATATTAAAGAAGAGAGGCAGCACTTCTGCAGATATTAAAGAAGAGACTGCAGTATTGCTGCAGTCATTAACTGATGTGTTTTTAGAAGTATTTTCTTGGTTTTTGCCTATGAGTGTTCTAAATGCCAAGCAAAGGCTCTCCTGCGTACCACTTGCAGCAGTTGTCTTGTCTTTGACTTGCCTCAGGATTCCTGGTAATGAAATTAGCAAAGTAATCCTGACACCCACTTCCTACACCCAAGGGAGGGGAGGAAAGAGGTATAGTAGTTTCTAAATAGGAACTCCCCTACCAGCTTTACAACTAATCACTTCCACTACTGCTTCTTTCCCGGGTTGGAGCAGGTGCCCCCCTCCCTTGGACTCACATGGTCCCCTTGTATAACCCTACTTTAATTCTTACCACAAAATTATTTGACGCTGTCTTCCCTACTAGATTGTAAGCACTTCAGAGACAGTCTGTCTTTCTCATCTTTGTGTTCACTGTGCCTACCACATAAGAGGTGCTCAGTAAATACTAGATATGAACATTGATGTGCAAAAGCTATTCACTAAGGTGGTATTTCCTAAATGTTTTGTCACACAGAAATGTCTTTCATCTTAGTTTAGTGCATATTCCCACACATGTATTATTTATACTCATATATGTGTATGTATTTCAAGTATATACAAGTCCTCATTTTACTTCTGATACTCTGATGCTTTCTATATTGACCAATTTTGTTTTTTCAACAACACTCCTGATTGTTTCATAAACCTCTTTAGGTCACAGCTCATAATTTGAAACACTGCTTTAAGTTTTAGCTCAATTTGGCTGTACCTTCTCCCCAAACTCCTTCCTCAGGAATAGCTCATCAGCCCATACACTGTCAGCCATCTGTTACTGTCACAAGAAAATACTCTGCATAGGTATCTTCCTCCTTGAATTACATATAAGTCGGTAATTGTAGGTTCAAATAATAGAGTCCAGCTTCAGAGGGACGACTGACTTGAGGACTTCTTTGGGTCTGCCTTAATGAGATGTGTCTGGCATAGTGCCTGCTATGGAGTGTTTGATGAATGCTAGTTCTTGCTCCATATTTGGGTCTTTCCTCACTGGCCTTCTTCCTTGTTGCTTTGGAAGTTGGTTTTTCTTTTTGTCTTCCAACATCCAGTCCTTGATTTTATGTTCAAAGGGCTTGTTTTACTTTCCTAGGTGAATGAAATCCTGTGCCGTTCTTCAGTCTGGAGTGCCTTCAAAGATCAGAAACATGATTTGTTCATTTCTGAGTCACAAACAGCAGGATACCTCACAGGTAAGCCATACCTAATTGGTTATTGTAAGACACCTGGCAGAAGCCACTTGGACCTTCCTTTTGCCCTAAATAGACTTAAAATTGTGTTCAGAGTGTTTCTTAGGCTACCAGCTGACCTTTCTTGGAGGTGCTATGAGCATGTAGTAGACATATGGTCTTAGCTTTATATAGCATGCAAACTGTTGTTGTGTTGAATGGGTACTGACTAAAGCATGTATTTTGTTCAGTTTTGATCCAGTTAATTGGGTCATAGAATATATTTGGAGCATGTCTGTATTAAAGTATTTATCTTGTAAAGAGAAGGAATAAATATCTGCTGAGGAATATCAGTGTCAGAAACATGATTCATCATTCCATATCTGTCAGAATAACAGATTAAAACTCCAAATATGTATAATTGTATGTAAAAGATATTCTTGGCTGGGCGCGGTGGCTCACGCCTATAATCCCAGCACTTTGGGAAGCTGAGGCGGGTGAATCACGAGGTCAGGAGATCGAGACCATCCTGTCTAACACAGTGAAACCCCATCTCTACTAAAAATACAAAAAATTAGCCAGGCGTGGTGGCGGGCACCTGTAGTCCCATCTACTCGGGAGGCTGAGGCAGGAGAATGGTGGGAACCCGGGAGGCAGAGCATGCAGTGAGCCAAGATTGCGCCACTGCACTCCAGCCTGGGCGACAGAGCAAGACTCTGCCTCAAAAAAAAAAAAAAGATATTCTCCTAAGTTTCCAGTGATTTGTTTATGGTTTTGCTAAATATTTAGGGTGTGTCGTTTTATGGGGGTGGAATACATAGGTATCATGAATGAAAGGATGTTTTACTGCTTTGGTTTCAAAAGATACTATGTTTAAAACTCAGAACATTTGACACACTAATTGCATAATTTTAGAATAGTCATTTTCATATAGGCTTCAACATAAGTCAGACTCTTGCTGAATGCTAAAGAGGCAATATCTAGTCTGCTATAAAAGTTCTTAATTTGAAATTAACCTTAGGAATATGAGGCGGTTCTTGCTGTCTGCCTGAAATTGTAGTATATAAAAAGATGTCAGCCCTGCATTCTCTCCTAACCAAAGATGATAAACTAAGAGAAAAAATTATCACCCAGGGTTTCTAAGCCATTGTAATTGTTTTAATCTTGATTGCTAGTATAGAAGTTTATAAGATCATGAAGACTTTATCTTGAATATTCAAAATTAGAGGCTTTGGAGGAAATTTTACCTGGTTTTAATTTTAAACTTGGTGTGACACTTTTTTTTCTTCACCATAACCACTTTAATATTGACACTCCTAAAGTTGGAGCAGAGTCCTAAAATTTATAAACATGCAGTGCTTTGGCTGCAGGTCATGTCCTGTTCAGAACAGTGTCATAGGTTTTTATTTTAACTTTTCCATCCCCTGTCCCTCATATCTATGGAGAAAAATACCTAGACTGTGTTCTCAGTCTGTCCCATATCTCTCTTCAGATTTGGTGTTAAAATTATAGCTTCTAAGTAGGAGTTTGTTCTTATAGGCAGTATAAAAACTTTACCTCTTTAGCCTATGTCCAAAAGTTCACATACCACGTTTTCATGGCATTACATTCATTACTTTTTGTATAAGGATGGTATGATTGAAAAAAAAATCTGCCTTATTTTTATTTTATTATTTATTTTTTTGAGACAGTCTTGCTCTCTCACCCAGGCTGGAGTGCAGTGGTGCGACCTCAGCTCACTGCAACCTCTGCTCCCTGGATTCAAGTGATTCTCCTGCCTCAGCTTCCCAAGTAGCTGGCATTATAGGCTTGCACCACCACACCCAGCTAATTTTTGTAATTATTATTATTATTATTATTATTTTAGTAGAGACGGAATTTTGCCATGTTAGCTATGCTGGTCTCAAACTCCTGACCTCAGGTGATCCACCCACCTCGGCCTCCCAAAGTGCTGGGATTACAGGCGTGAGACACCACACCTGGCTTTTTTTTTTTTTTTTGCGACGGAGTCTGGCTCTGTCACCCAGGCTGGAGTGCAATGGTGCAATCTTGGCTCACTGCAACCTCTGCCTCCCAGGTTCAAGCCATTCTCCTGCCTCAGCTTCCCAAGTACTTGGGATGATAGGCATGTACCACCATGCCCAGCTAATTTTTGTATTTTTAGTAGAGGCTGGTCTCAAACTCCTGACTTCAGGTGATCTGCCCACTTCGGCTTCCCAAAGCATTGGGATTACAGGCGTGAGCCAGCATGCCCGCCCTCTTTTTTTTTTTTTTTTTTTTGAGACAGAGTCTTGGTCTGTTGCCCAGGCTGGAGTACTACAGCATGAGCTCAGCTCACCGCAACCTTTGCCTCCCGGGTTCAAACGATTCTCCTGCCTTAGCCTCACAAGTAGCTGAGATTACAGGTGTGCACCACCATTCCCAGCTAATTTTTGTATTTTTAGTAGAGACGGGGTTTTGCTGTGTTGGCCAGGCTGGTCTCGGACTCCTGACCTCAAATGATCCACCCGCCTCAAATGATCCACCCGCCTGGTACTCCCAAAGTCCTGGGATTACAGGTGTGAGCCACTGCACCTGGTCAGCCTTATTTTTCTTAACTAAGAGTAAATTGGCCCTGAAGAATAGTAATGTGTATATTATAAGCTTCTCTACAGGAAAGCCTCTTCTAATTCTTCTGTTCAGTCTTATCTATCATTCTTTGACTTAACTTGATGAAATAAAAAACATATGTCCTTGACTTACAGAGTGTGAACCAAAAGGTCTGTGGTTAGAATCCAGAAGAAATAGGGGTTTATCTTCAGAAACCTGGACTTCATTTGGTCCTCACCCCCATCCACATGCTTTAGTAACTATAGGGAAAAGGTATAGGCAGTAAAAAGCTTCTTGTCTGTGCCTTTCCTTTTACTTGGATCCATGCGGTGGCTTCTGAATGAGATATGAAAAGTGGCTGTGAAGGGGTTAGAAGAAGGTTAGGGAAAAAGAAAAGTTGGGGTATACAAATTTCTTCCCATCCCTGAGCCGGCTTAAGGGACAGCAAGTTCTGTACAGGTCTGGCCAAATGGGGAGATGGTATAAAACCCAACCAGGAAGGGGCATGGAGATAATGAGTCTTCCAGAAGGCCATTACTGAAGCCTGCAGACGTGTCCATGTAGAACAGTCTGGATAAGCTGTAAGCATTGTTGACCCCAGAATTGTGAAATTCTGAGCATGTTATCAATCTGGGATGCTCTTTTTTAGCGATGTCAGTTGCTGGAAATTTTTTCATCAGCTCTAGTCTGTCCTATTTGAAAGGACCAACTTGCCAGGTGCAATGGCTCATGTCTGTAATCCCAGCAATTTTGGAGGCCAAGGTGGGCGGACTGCTTGAGTCCAGGAGTTCCAGACCAGCGTGGGCAACACGGCAAGACCCCGTCTCTATAAAAAAATACAAAAATTTAGCCAGGCATGTTGGTGCATGCCTGTAGTCCCACCTACTCGGGAGGCTCTCTTGAGCCTAGGAGGTGGAGGTCACAGGTGAGCTGAGCTCTCACCACCACACTCCAGCCTGGGCAATAGAGCAAGACCTTGTCTCAAAAAAAATTAAGTTACATTAAAAATGAAAGAACTATTTCAAGAATTAAAGCTTCTAACTCTTGCTGTCTGCCTGAAATTGTAGTATATAAGATGTCAGCCCTACATCCTCTAACTACAGATGATGTAGGCAAATTAAGAGATAAATTAGGTAAATTTACTGCCAGTTGGATTGATGTGTGCTCATTGCTTGAGTTGCCAAATGTTTTTTGTGTTTGAGCTTTTCATTGATGTATTGTGTATCATGTGTTTGATAAAAGGGGCATGTAGTTCTAATAATGATAAAATCCCATGATGTGGAACTCCAGGAATTTATAGTGTTGTGTTGAATTGGAATTTCATTTAGTTAAAATGTGCCCCGTGCTACTCCCAAACTTCAGAAGATACAGATTGTACCCAGCCCCTCTGTAATCATTGAAATCAAGGTTGCTGTGACAACACACATCACCAACCCTTTCTTCTAACTGATATCTTTAGGTGAGTTTGGCAGGTTAGGTGGATTTTGTTTAGGACATGGGGAAAGACAAAGGAGTTAATTACTACTTCAAAGTAAGATAAAAATGACCAAAACTACGTTTTCTTCTCTCTGGCTGCTGAGTAAATGTCATTCAGTCACATGCCCAAGATTTGGGGTAAAAATTTTAAAGTCCTAGGTAGGATTACTCAATCTTGATAAATTTAAATGAGACTGCCTATTTCCATAGGTTCTCTAGCCTGGCATATTTTGTTTTATGATAAATGCTTATTTAAAGGTGCCTCAGTGGAATTTTTCCTGTGATGCAGATAAATTGTGGTTACTCATTATCCAGGGCCCTTGATCACTTAGCCATTTATTAGGTTCTAGAACAGCTTGGTGCTGATGGTCTCAGAGCCTCATAAAAAATAATTTCAGCAGTGAAAATCCTCAAATTACCTAACCTAGAAAATCAGTAGCAAAAGAAGGAACAACAGGAAAAGGAACAGAGGCCAGGGTGAAGATGCTTCTAGGAGCCAGAATTGGAGATGAACTTTTCACATATACATTTCATCGTGGTAGCCAATTCAGTTTTGTGGGATTCTCTGTAAATTTTCCATCTTTTCTCATTTCTCTGAAGTCCAGCAGCCTTGTGCAATCTTGCCACATGCCCATTCCTGGCAGCCCCTGCTCTTCCCATCTTTCTCTGAAGAACACAACTGCCCTATTCTGTGCAAATGACCAGGCAGCACCTTTTAGCCCCAAGAAACCAGACACATCCTCAAGGAGAGGCCAGGGTCCTGGGGAGAGCATCTCGGATTTCATTTGTAGAACTATCCGGGAATTGATTTTGATTTGCCTTTCCTAAAGAGGCAAATGATGGTACTAAAATTTGGTTTCTTCCTTCTAAGCCCATCATTTCACCATTTAGATTTTAGCTCAGAGGTTCCCACATTTTCTCAGTTCACAGTGCCCTTAATAGCTCAGTAATTTTTTCATCCGTCCCCAAGCCAAAAGAAATACCTAATAATTTAGTTTATGAAGTAATTGCAAGACAACTTGAAAGTAGTTGTTTGTATGGTGGTCAGCAGATGGCGCTGTGTTTCAAATTTAAAATACCCAGCAGTTAGCTGGATGATGTGGCAGGCAACTGTAGTCCACATGGACAGGCCGAATCCGCTACTCAGTAGGCTGGGGTGGGAAGATCACTTGAGCCTAGGAGTTCAAGGCCTGGATAGGGGAGTTGCTTGAGCCCAGGAGTTCAAGGCAACATAGTGAGACCCCCATCTGTTAAATACACACACACACAGAGGGGCAAAGGGAATAAATAAATATCCAGCAATGCCCCAGGGTGCCTCAGCACACAGTTTGAGAACTGCGTCATTAATCCACTTTCTAGATGCAGCATTCATGGTTTGGTCTTGTAACCTACTATTTTGATGGGAACCAAGTTGAGCCCACAATCAGAATTGCTCAGAAACTACACAGTCTGGAGTGTTTGAGGTCTTACTGTTAAGGGTTACATCTTTGATGACACCTACTGGATGGTTTTGCAGTAATCATGCTGCAGCCTAAAGTTCAGAGAATATGAGGGTGGTGGGAAATGATCACAGGGTGCTGCTGTAGCTCTGAACTGCGTTGTCAGAAGGGTTTGTTGACCTGGTGGCCTTTTTCCTGAGCAGACTGTGAAAGGCCTGGCATCCTGATTGGCTCAAGGCAGGAGTTGATAGATGCAGGCTCCCACAGTACCTTAAAAAGGAGAAATATTTTTTGTAAGTTCTACAAGTACAAGGTTTTTATAAGTACAGCGTTCCAAGTACCTGGGCACTCTGGTTGGCTTCAGTTACAGCTCACACAGGCTGAGTCATCTCTGCCTATGTATCTATACAAGCCATTTCACATCCATAGTACCAATACTTTTAAGGTCAAAAACAAGATGAATCTGAATGGTGGCCTTTTTGTCCTCCACCAATCCCTGTTTCTACCTTCATCAAACTACTCTGCTGTTTGCACTTCCTCACAACTTCCCTTGCTGCTTATATTTCTTTTTTCCCCTCAGGTGTCTCTCCTTCCCTTCTAACTGGCAGCAGCCCCCTTCACCTCAGGAGCGGGCTTTAGATCCGCTCTGCCAGGCAGCTTGCTAACTTCTGTGTAGCTCTCTGAAGCAGGTAGAGAAATGTTTTGCTAAATGCATGCCGCTCCCACTGCCTTTCTAGTCCTAACCCTCAATGTTCCTTAGTTGTTTGCCTTGTTTCCTACAATTTCAGCTAAAACTATTGCTCAGTATGCAGTATTATGCTACAGTGTCCCTTGCAAGTACTTGTTAGTTTGTGCAGTGCTTCTGAGATGTAATTAAATGTTTATGCAATGTTTAAAATAAACTCTAGAGGGCTAAAGCCATTAATATGCCCATAGGACACATCTCGATAAATGCTGGCATATATGGCATTTTCATGCAATAGAAACTGTTAGAATCAAGGGAGAAATATAAGACTAAAATATCAGTACCCTTTCACATAGCATTCTTGTTTTAACCTATGACAGATGGATGTCCAGAGCCTTTTCTTTTTCAGAGTCCTTGGTTTAGCAACCCTTGTTCGTTTGGTGTTACTTGTTATAATAGCATTTCTTTGCACCAAATGAAAATAGGTTAGTTTGAGTGTTGACAGAAGTGTTTATGTTGAATTTTGTCACATATGACTTTTGGATGAGCTGAGTGTAGAGTTTCTTTTGTCTGTCTGTTTCCATTTTTTCCATTCGACATAGTTCTTTTCAGTGCTCGGAATTTTTTGAAAGATTGAATTTCCCAAATGTAAGAAAGAAAATTTTATCCATATTTCCACACCAGTGTTACTGTCCAGCATACATTTTGAAATGATTTCTAGTCTATAGTGTAGGCAAACATGAAAATAGTACTATGTAGCTGTTTATTAAGGTATAGATGTAATTTAGGTAATTGAAATAGATGATTAGTTTTGTGTGATGGAGTGCCTGAGCAGGTTCTGACATTTTTATAAAGGTCAATGTTTTCACTTGACTGCTTTCTAGAGGTGTGTGTTTACCTTTCTCTCTTGCAGGACCTGGAGTTGCTGGCTACCTTACCGCAGGTACATCTACATCAGTCATGTCTAACCTGCCACCTCCTGTAGACCATGAGGCAGGCGACCTTGGCTATCAGACTTGAAATATTCACGAGAGACAATAAACGCTGAAAGGCCAGTGCCAAGTCCACATTCCTCCAGCTGATACGTTGAAGCAAACTCTTACTGCCTTTCTCCTGGTTTCATGACAGTGTTATTCCTTTTTCTATAAATATATTTTTAGGAAAAAAAGTCAGTGATCCTAATTGTATCACATTATAAGAAAGCACTCTGTGGATCAACATAAGTGGGTACACAAGAATTTTTTTTTTCTTGGTGTATGTAAGCACATTTGTTCCTTTATATCTGTTTACAAAACTGTGAATCAAAAAGACAAAACTTTCTTCCTAGTTTTTGTAATTTTTTTTTTGAACTAGCATGACTGTAGGGTTGAGCTACAGTCAACAAAAATTGGGCTAAGTCACTTTTCCCCAGGAAAGAATATTTCCCTCTCCTGCATCAAGTCTGCGTGGCCATCCTCCCCCCACCATCCAAGACTATTAGGTTTTGTCCCTGCACCCTTCACTGGCATCCTCAATCATTAACCTTCTGAAAGCTCACAGTACACATTAGTATGTATAACTGGCTTTACCAAATTGAATGAAAAGGAGCTTGTGCAAAAAAATTTAAAAATGGATGTCAAGATGTTATGTAAAAGATGAGTGTAATTGTGAAATGTTCTATACACTATCAAATATATAAAGCTTTCTATATTGAATGTACATTATACAGATCATTCATATGTGTACATAAAATTTTAAAAATAAAGGGAATTGACTGCTTTGTTAATGAGATATATTTGTTCTAGTTTAATCTTTCCGTTTGAAGACCTCATATATCTATCTTTATTTCTAAGACAGATGTAGTATTAAACAGACGTTATCTTACATTCGTAACTCTTCATATAGATGGCTGCATTAACATAATCTAATCATTCCTAACTTTAATATTTCAGCCACATCTAAGTTTCCAGACACAGCATCTCATTTATTTTTCATACAACATTCAGGAATGGGTCAGGCTGTTAATAATATGTGACATTAATTCTACTATTTTTAAGAAGAGAAAATTAAATAGCCAGAAGATTTTTCAAGTAACAAATCTCAGCACATAGATTTTCTAGTGTGACCACAAACTACAAGAAAATATAAACATGGAGAATATAAACAAACAGTTCTTAAAGAATGGGGAAATACCCACACTTCCAAGTTTCCTTTCAAAGCAAGAACCAAGTTTATTCCACAGTTGATGTGTAAGAACAGCCAAAATGGAAACTTACTCCTATTCCAAATCACTAATTCAAACTTCTGCATCAAGTTTATCATCTCTAACAGATTATAGAGTAATATGTTAATGGAAGTATTTTAATATGTAACTAGGGTTTTAGTTTCTAGACAATAGTTGGGTATAAAAATGTGTTCACTAAAAAATTATAACAGCTAAATTGGGATTAGGTATTTAGGAGAGCATAAATCAACATAGCAATGTTTTCTTTTAAATACTAAGAATATAAGTATTGTGAATACAATAGTTAAAGGCCCGTTAAATTAGTCTACGATCATTGATGTTTAGATGCCAACAATACTTAACCTTTATTGAATATTTACTGTCTGCTAAGTATTGCATAATCTCATTTAATCCTCAGAACGAACCTGTGGGCCAGTTAATCCTCAGAGCAAACCTGTTGGCCTGGTACTGATATAATTCCCATCTTCCAGGTGAAGAACATGAGGTTCAGATAAGTAAAGCAGCTTACTAAAAGTCACACAACTAGTAAGTAACAGAGTAAGAAATCAAAACTCTTATGTGACACTGAGGTCTGTATTCTGAGCCATAATATGAAGACAACAGCAATGTCAGGCAAGTGTCTGTGATGGGGAAAGCTGAGTTTTGATCTTTGAGGGTGGAGGCTTTATCTGAGATTTAAGCATGAAGTCGTTTGCCTCAGTCCTGAGTTATAAAAGACAGCTTGAGCAGGGTAACAGGAAAGTATATATAGGACACCTGGAGGGGTGGGGGTTGTCTGGTATGGCTGGGGGATAAGGGTCCAGAGAGAACCCAGCCTGAGACCCAGGGAGGAGCCAGCTGGACGGTGTCCTAAGTGCCAAGCTGACGCATTAACATCAAACCTAATAGTGATTCAGGAATGAGATCTGTATTTTAAAATAAACAGCAGTGTGGAATGATCACTTTGGTGCGTTTGTTGGGAGAGGGGCTGTTTAGAGGTAGCAAAACTCAGAGATACACTCTAGTAACCCACAGTCCATCTAAGGAGCAGTGCAGAGGCAGAACACTGGAAATGGGCAAGAGACCATGCCGGACCCTCGTCCGTCCACTGAGGATCATCACCAGATGCTCAGCTCAAGAATCCCTTTCAGTCTAGAACTTCTGTGATCCTTCTCATGCTTAAATTGTTCATTATATGATGAATATCGTGTAAATAAGCTTTATTAGGATTTTGAGAAGAGCACTGTGAAAAAAAAGTTGCAGATAAACTTTCTTGCAACCTACTCTGACTAGGAATTTCACCGCCTCCTTGAGTTTTTGGGAAGGCATGGCCCTCCTTTTACTGGCCAGTAGCAGTGTGACCAAGGAAGGCAGACTTCTTTGTTTCCTTATCTATAAGGTTCATTCTGAGCCCATTCCTCAAAGGGGTGTTATGAGAATTAAATAGGGGTGTTATAAGGCCAAAAAAATCAAATTCATTCCCCTTGCAATAAGATAAAAACCAGTGGTTATGAGGAATTGGATGTATGTGCTTTCTGTCCAATGAGTTATTAATTAGGTATTCTTTTAAAAGACTGAACTCCTTTTGCAATATGTAGTTGCATGGTCACATGTGTGCTCATGCCACTTTTGTGATGGGAGAGGGGAGGACAAGGACTTCGGGGAAGTTAGTCATTAGGGACTAAATGGTTGTATCTTCCCCCAAAATTCATAGGGTGAGACCCTAACCCCCAGTGGTATTTGGAGATGGGGCCTCAGGGAGGTAATTAATTAGTGTTAGATGAGGTCATGAAGGTAGTGCCCTCATAATGGGGATAATACCTTAGACACCAGAGAGCCTACCTGTACCCCCAAATTCCCCCACTACCTCCTTTCCCAACACCTGACATTCTGCACCAAGAGGTCACGTAAGCACACTGGGAGCCACGTACAAGCCAAGAGAAGAGGCCTCAGAATGAAAGCTAACTTGCTGGCACATTGATCTTAAACTTCCCAGCCTCCAGAACTGTGAGAAATAAATTTGTTGTTTAAGCCACCAGTCTATGGTATTTTGTTATGACAGTCCAAGCAGACTAATACATAGTGTTCGCTGGAGCACCAGTAGCAAGAAGAGAGTTTGCTCATAGATTGGTAGGACAAAGGGCTGGTTAGAGCCAGAGCCACCTCAGCCTTGATGGGACTTGGTATAAATTCAGCTCAAGCACCTTCAGAAACAACTGACAGCCTGTCCTGAAGCTGGGGAGGCAGACCCCTAAGGCTGGCCCACAGCACACACCAAAACTTGGAATGCCCACTAAGTTAGAACTAGGTGACTGCCTGGCTCCTGGGAGTGTTTCCAGTTTTTTGTTTGTTTGTTTTTGAGTACATGTTAAGTTTTGAGTATCCAAGTTATATCAGAAATCACGCCTGGATGCCCAAGGTGTTGATTCTAAATCAGAATCACTGCTGGATGCCCAAGATATTGATTCCATCCTCATATTAACCCCAAATGTTTGTGTGGATTTTGGTTGAATTCAGTGTTTAACTCATTAACTTGTGTCACCCAGTCTGTTTAAATTAGGGCAGGAGAATGGAAGTAAGGTATCTTGGAGCTGGTATGGACCGAGTTGGGGCCACCTGGGCTGTGGTTCTGGCCTCCACCAAGTGACCTTGGAGCTGTCACCAATAAGTGGGGGTCATTAATGTCTCCTTTGTGGGGATGTTCGGGAGATCAGGAATAATAGATGTAAACACCTAATAGGGTGTCAACCTTGTAGACAGGAGCGTCTAGGAATGAGGAGCTGGGCTTGGTGATGCTGTGTCAAGGAAGAACACTGGCTTGTCAGGCAGATTCTGCCCTGCTTAGGTTTCTGACATTGGGCGTTAATTTCATCTATAAAATGCCTGATCTGGTCAGGAAATCTTACTTTGGTAAGATGTTAAGAATCTGTTGAAATACGTGTAAAACCTTTATGCAAAAATGCCCAAAAGCGCATATTTTAAAAATATCCGAAAACTCAGTCCCATTCTCGCCCCAGTTAAAAACCTCAGAACTAGATCACTTCCCAGAATTATTGTTTCCCATAGATGATTTTTTGTGAAATAAATTATTTAACTCCTCTATTGTAGTGGAAACTTCAGGCATTTCTCCTGTCATCAATGCTTTCCCATTACTAGTTGTTACTACATGTGTTGTTTAATATGTTATTTAGCATTTAAAGCAAAGAACTTCACATCTGGATTATTGACCACTAATTTCTAAACTTAAGGAGTAAAAGGTGGGTGAGGTTACTGTGGGTTCCAGGGCCCCAAGAATACAGGAAATAGGGTGGCCAGTTTAAAACGTTTGTTTTGCCATCAAGCTTATGAAAGAAGATCTGTACATTTCCATCATTTTTACAAATCCCCAATTTAAGGAAATAACTTTGTAAGAGAAGAGAAAGACCCAGAGCTGTTCATGAAAACTCTGTTATTTACACAAATAAGAATGTTCGTGCTTAAATTTTTTAACATTGAAAAGGAATATGGTTTATAAGTTATGCAGTTATGTATGAAGAGTTTTCAGCTATTGTCCAATGGCAGTAGATAAAAAAAACCTAAGGTCTACAAAGAACATTGGCCTCATTCCCTGACCCCTAACCAATGTCTGTGAGCAGGAAAAGAGGAACCTCATGCCCTCAGTCTCTACTTCAGGGAAAAGTTTACGAAGATGTGGCTTGAGTCAATGAAAGAATGAGTCATTTGTCTTCAAAAGGAAAGGTCATATGGAAGTAATTCTACAAATATTTAGCTATGCATAAGTTCAGGAAAGTCATTTCACTTACTTAAGCTCAAACCTCAATCTCACATTTTAGTATTTTACACAACTCAAAATAGCCTTTCGTATGTATGTATCAGGTTTCCCAGCATTCCAAAGCAGGAAGTGGAACATTTTTCCCAGCTTTAAAGGTAAGAGCTGACCTGAGGACAATCCTGTCAGCCCTAAAATGATCAAGGTGAATTCAGAGTAAGCAAATCTAGAGTTTGGAGCAGAAAACTTTATCAACTGATACAACAGCTGGATGATAGCACACCCTTCCAGTGGCAGGGACTTGCCTAAAGCAACTGAGCATTGTGGAGAGCCTTTGAAGGCAGCCCTTAGTGTGAATGCTGACAGGTGTATGCCTCCAGGTATGACAGTAGAAGCAGAAAAGAGGCCAAAACAGGAAGAAAAAAAGGAAATTTTGGAGGACACTAGGAAGAAGAAAGCATTGGAAAAGAAAGCTGTATAACCATACCCTCAGAGATAAGCATTGCATCTACAAAACAGGATGCCACTTTGAAAAAAAATTTTTTTCCACAGAAAATCAGGTCTTAAAAATTTTTTAATAAAAATAGAAGAAAAACAATAGAAGACATTGACAGAGAAAGTTGAGGAAATCTTGTGAAGAAGCAGAGTAAGATGGAAAAGTAGACAAAAGAGACCCAGTTCAGGGAGCCCATTATCTAAAAAATTTAGATCCCAAAAGAAATACTAGTTTTGAAAAGGGGCTGAGAACAAAATAAAAAATTCAAGCACTTTCCCAGTAAGGAAGACTATGCCACTGAAGAGGCCAAAGGAACTTCTCCTTCACCCTCTGAAAGGTCTGCTGAAAAATCAACTTGCAAAATGCAGAATAATTGGAGAAAAGGCATACAAATTTATTTAATGAGTATACACAGGAGCCTTCAGAATGAAAGCCCAAAGATCCTGGGGAAATTGTTCACTTTGATGCTTAGGTTCAACAAAATATTGACAGCCATACTTTGATTGGCTGTGTTTATGATTGGACAAAAGGGTAAGATCAAATGCTAAGGGACTGCATGGGGAAACCCAGCAAGGTCTGTTTAGACTCTTCTTGGCCTATCCGAGCATGCAGTCCTTCCTTCTGGGTATGGGGCGGGTCTTTCTCTGGAATAGGGGTCCTCTGAGCTATAGTCCAACAAGGTAAGTCAGATCATTTCTTTGTGGCCAGTTTTTACATAGAAAGGTGGAGGGAAAGGGTAATAACTTTAGGTTTTATGGCTGGCTTTGGGGAAAAGAGGTTCTGGTTTCTGACCCACCTTGGGGAAGAGAGATTCTAGTTTCTGTGGCTAGCCTTGGGAGAGAATGGAACTGAGCGACAGGAAGGTAGGAGAAGGTCAGAAAAACTTCTGGTTCTGAGGCTGCTTCTGAGACCTTCATTCTGGGGTTTGTTTTATGAGTCCCAATGTCAGAGGTGTTTGAACCAGAGTGACTCCACCTTGAATAGGGGCTGGGTAATATAAGGCTGAGACCTGCTGGGCTGCACCCCCGGGAGGTTAGGCATTCTCAGGCACAGGATAAGACAGGAGGACAACAGGACTGGTATCACAGATACAGGTCATAAAGACCCTGCTAATAAACAGGATGTAGTAAAGAAGCCGCCAAAACCCACCAAAACCAAGATGGCAATGAAAGTGACCTCTGGTGGTCCTCACTGCTCATTATACACTATAATATATTAGCATCGCAAATCATTCCCACCAGCACCATGACAGTTTACAAATACCATGGCAACATCCAGAAGTTACCCTATATTGTCTAAAAAGGGAATTTTCTGGAAAACTCACGAATAATCCACCCCTTGTTTAGCGTATGATCAAGAAATAACTATAAAAATAGCTGGCCAGGCACGGTGGCTCATTCCTGTAATCCCAGTACTTTGGGAGGCAGAGGTGGGTGGATCACAAGGTCAGGAGTTCAAGACTAGCCTGGCCAAGATGGCAAAACCCCGTCTCTACTAAAAATACAAACAAAAAGTAGCTGGGCGTGGTGGTGTGCACCTGTAATCCCAGCTACTCAGGAGGCTAAGGCAGGAGCATCACTTGAACCTGGGCGGTAGAGGTTGCAGTGAGCCAAGATCATGCCACTGCACTCCAGCCTGGGCCACAGAGCAAGACTACGTCTCAAAAAAAAAAAAAAAAAAAAAATAGCCAACCAGCAGCCCTCAGGGCTACTCTGTCTATGGAGTAGCCATTCTTTTGTTTCTTCTCTAATAAACTAGCTTTCACTTTATGGATTTATCCTGAATTATTTCTTGTGTGAGATCCAAGAACCGTCTCTTGGGGTCTGGATCAGGACCTCTTTCCAGTAACACCAACGCCACCGAGTGCCAGCCCAATAAATGAAAGTCAACCCTTACAAATACACATAATTGTGAAATTTTACCATATGAAAACAAAAAGATCCTATAACCCTCCAGGGTGTGGCAGGAGAAGAGGGAACCATTTCTTAGAAAGGAACAAGAATAAGAATAGCACTGGATTGCTCAATAACACTGAAAGAAAACAAGGGAGTGATGCCTTCAAAAATCTCAACCCAGGGTTCTACATCCAGTGAAACTACTGATTGAGGGGACAGAATTAAGACAAGGTCTCAAATTTACCTCCCATTAATTCTTTTGTAAGAAGCTCCAGAAAGATGTTCTGTACTAAAGCAGGGGGTACCCAAAAAAGTGTGGGGGCCAAGATGTAAACTTGCCTGTCACCCTCTGAAGGTTCACTGAAAATCAGCTGACATAAGGCAGATGAATAGGAGAGAAAGCATACAAATTTATTAACGTGTACCTGTGGTCCCAGCTACTCGGGAAGCTGAGGTGGAGGATCACTTGAGCCTGCAGTTTGAGGCTGCAGTTTGAGCTATGATCATGCCACTCTACTCCAGCCTGGGCAACAGGCAAGAATTGGTCTAAAAGAAAAAAAAAAAAAAAAAACAGACTTTACAGGGTATGTCAAAGAAGTATATTTGGGGGTGAAATACTTTGGTTTTCTTCAAAAGAATGGTGGAATTCTTCAAATGATATTGAAAAGCCATTTCAAATTAAGACAACAGGTTGCAGCTAACTTAGACAACTACCCATCCAGACTTGAACAGGTTAGAGGCTCTGGGAACAAATTCTTCAAGAAGATGAAATTGATAGGCAATATATGTATTTGAACATATTGAGAGAAAAGAAATTGATGTATCTGGGAGAAGAGTTTGGAATAGCTGGGCAACAAAATAATCATAGCACATCTTCTAAACTGAGAAATCAATAGATGACTAGACTACATATGACAGTAATGTTTCATCAAGGTCAAATTCTCGTGTCATTATTGTTAGGTGACATACTATCTGCAGCTAACTCAGTTCAGAAACAGGAGAGAGAAAGCAAGTGTGAATCTAGATAAGGATATACAGGTGTTCACTATATTCTTCCTCTAACTGAAGATTTAAGTAAAATAAACCATTGAGAGGTGAGAGTATTATAACTGTATTATTTCAAGACATGGAAGTAGATCTCCATGCTTATCAGTTAGCTTAAATTGTTTTGTTTATTTATTTAATTTTGAGGTGGGGTCTCATTATGTTATGCAGACTAGGCTCAAGCAATTCTTCCACCTCAGCCTCCAGAGTAGCTGGGACTGTTACCAGAAAAGGGGTTTTGTCCCAGGGCCCAAGAGTGGGTTCTCAGATCTCGCATGGGAAAGAATTCAGGGCCAGTCACATAGTAAAGTTAAAATAGTTTATTAGAAACTACTCTGTGACAGAGTAGGGTGTCCTCAGAAAGCAAGACGAAGAATGCGCCTACCTTAACCCATTTATGCCTCAGGTTGCAATTTTTTGAATTTTTGCAATCAGACCTTGGTGATGACCTTGAGCAGTAGGATATAAATAACTCTCGCATGCTTAGCGTTCCAATAATGGAACATTAGGTATAAATGGATTTAAACAAGAATGCTTGCTTATATAGGAATATTAGGCCTATAGTGCAGTTTATTATAAAGGCTTGTGACAGGCTGTTAGTATGGTTATTCTCTTGTGTAACTTCTGATCTTGGCAAGAATTTATGAGTGTACTATTATCTTTAGAGGAAAACATATTTTTTAAACTAAGAATGCCTTTTTCCACTAACTTGTTTCCTCAACCATAAACATCTTGTGATTAAGAGTGCCTAACTTCCTGGGAATATAATGCATCAGGTCTTGCTTTATCCAGCCTTTATTCAAGATAGAGTCACTCTGGTTGGGATGCCTCTGACAGAGCTATAGGGGCCCAGCTATACTAAATGTTTTTAAGTCGTTGCTCATGGGAATGAGAAATTAGCATGTTGGGATGGTGAGAGGAAGAACCACTGATGATTTTCATAACTAGCTTTGGACAGTAATTTGATGGTTGAACTCTGAAATATATATCTTTGATTAAAAATAAAAACTAAACTATAAAAAAAATTAAGGAGAAATTAAAAATCAGTAAAACCGAAACAAAAATTAGCAGCTTTTGTACATGCAATGCAAACAATGTGTGGTAAATATAATAGAAAAAAAGGCAACATTAAATTGGTTAAAAAAAAATTCAGAAACAATTTTTTTTTAACCAATTGAATGTTGCCTTTCCAAAACTACCTATGGCCTGCCTCACCTCCATCCTGTGCCTATAAAGACCCCAGACTCAGTTGGTAGAGGAGAGAGAGGTGGCTTGATTTTAGTGAGGTGGCTTCACTTCAGTGAGGCAGCTTGACATCAGAGAGACAGCCTGACTTCAGAGAAGAGCTGGCCAGACTTTGGGGAAGAGATGCTGGATTTCAGGGGAAGACTACCTGCCCATCCCATCCCCTCTTCAGCTCCCCCTCTCTGCTGAGAGCCATTTCCATCTCTCTTAATAAAATTGTCTGCCTTCACCATCCTTCAAGTGTTCATGCAACTTCATTCTTCTTGGACACTGGACAAGAGCTTGGGACCCACCAAACTGCAGGGACCCACAAAAAGTCTGTCACACCAATGGAGGAAGTAGACTGCCAAGGTCAACAGGTTTATGTTGATCAGCCTGAGAACCAGCAGCCATGACCACATGTGTAAGCAGGCTGTGAAAGGAGCTCATTTGCTCCTCTGGGGGAAGGGGAGCTTACTTTTCCGCACAGGGACCATCCACATCTGATGAGCAGGCCATCCCTCCAGCCTTACGTCATGGCTGAGTTCCTTAACAGCAGAAAGTTCGTTTGGCCTTTTTGTGGACAGAGATGGGAGTTACAATGGTCTAAACTGAATGAAATGCAGCAAGTAAGCCCTTCCGGGACCATTTCCCCTGAAGCCAAAAACCTTATTATGAACAATTTTCCAGAGGGTAGCTTGGGAAAGAATAATGATTACCAGTTTGATTTTTTTTTTTTTTTTGAGACAGGATCTCACTCCTGTCACCTAGGCTGGAGTGCAGTGACGTGATCACAGCTCACTGCAGCCTTGACTTCCCAGGCTCAGGTGATCCTCCCACTGCAGCCTCCTGAGTAGCTGGGACTACAGGCATGTGCCACCACAACTGGCTAATTTTTTATATTTTTAGTAGATATAGGGTTTCACCATGTTGTCCAGGCTGGTCTTGAACTCCTGGGCTCAAGCAATCTGCCTGCCTCAGCCTCCTAAAGTGCTGGGATTACAGGTGTGAGCCACTGCACCCAGCCCGGTTTTGAATTTTATAAAAAATGTTTTCTCCATTTCCCATGACAAGTTCATTCTGAATCCCACTGAATTGGGAAGAGTCTTTGGCTCATAAATCAACTATGTAATCTCAAGAGATTTGAATTCACACACACTTCAATTCCTATGTATTGCTATGCATTGGAGACAACCTTTTTTGGCAGTCAGAAAACCTAAACACCTTGCACAAATACCAATTTTCCTTCAAATGATCTTTAGCAATATCTGTATTACAGGATCTTTGGTAAACTAGAAGCTCTTAGCAATTCCTTTTCATGCTAGGTTTGAATTTTATTTTTTTTGTTTAATACATGAGATGGACTAGAGTCAACTTTGCCCTTGCCGGTGGAGGGCAGCCACCCCATGCAAGGAGGCAAGGGGCCAACTGAGCTGTTAATACACAGCCGTCCATGGACAGCAGAACTAAAGGAGCATTGTTATACCCACTCTGGGGCCTCAAGGTCGCAGGCAGCCCCCTACAACCTGGGCACCGCTGCACGGAGCTTTCTCCCGCTGGTGTCTGGAGTGACCAGCTGGGTCCTGCACTCACTCACTTGCACCTGGTCTGGCTGTAGGCCCCACCTAGAGCTTGTTCCTAGGTCAGCGCCCGGAGTGGCCAGTCAGATCCTGCACTTGCTCACTCACATGATCCTTCCTGCAAGGGGTTGAGCATGGTGAGTGGAGTAAACGTTCACCCTTGTCACAAGTTCAATGAAGGGGCCGAGAAAAATTATGCACTATTGCCATGCCAGTGCTATGAGCATTGTACTTGACTCTCACATCTCTCTTACCACACTACTTCTAATTTACTGTATTCTATTACTTCTACATCTTCAATATCTCTAACAATCTATGTCTGGTACACCTACTGTCATGTGGGCCTCTAACATGTCTTCCATGGGTCAATGCAACAGGATCCTGACTGGTCTTCCTGCTTCTGATATAGGCTGAATCCAACCCCTTCTTCATGGAGTAGTATTTCTACTGCCCATCAGTGATTCCACTGCTCTTAGGACCAAGTCCAATGCCTCATCTTGGATTGTGAGGCCCTTTGTGATCTGGCCCCTTCTTTGTCTGGCATCATCTCTCCATAACAGGAAACAGTAACCTTTACCAATTGACATTAAGAAAGCCACAGGTTGTGTCTGAGTCTGTACTGTGTGGGCTAGTTTCCAAAATTATGATGAGTAATTTCAGTTTCAGGCCAGTCTTCCCTGACCTCAAAATATTTCCAGAAGGCCAGCTTCTCAGCCATTTGGGGCTGTGGGACTGGAGTTCCCAAATAAAGAGAAATGCCACCTATTGTATTTTCCTACTTCTTGCTTCTAGGCTCTTTTGTTGAAGTTGCTTCAGACTCATCATGCACACTGTCCTCAGTGGCAATGGCTCTTAAATAAAACAGAATTTGCCAGTGTTTCTCTTTTGTTTTCTATGTAAAAACCAGCTTATTTTCTCAAGGTTTTGTGGTTGACAAAAATCCTGCCCTATCTAGTAGGAAAGGGTGGGGTTATTAGATTAAGTAAGTTGTCAGTTGAATGAACTATCTGCTCCTTAGGACAAGGACACTAGGGACCTTGTCACCTGTGCATCCTCCACAGGCATCTGTAAGGACTCCTTGAATTGTTCAGAATTGCATGTGTTCTCTGTCTCCTCTGAAATTAATCTGGTGTTCTTTCAAGTCAAATTGATCTAGTGTTGTGTTGCTTCGACTAGATATAAATAAGAAATCCTATTGATTTGATACACTCTGAAGTGTTTGGAGAGCAAAGACACCACTGAACAGGAAGGAAGTATTTTAAGCCCCTCAGCCTACGTGCTCCACATCTGGGAAAATATTACACTGTGAGTGGCTGTTTCTTCCTCATTTCTTATCTTCTAGATGTTGTTTGTCTCAAACTTTGCCAGCAAAAGGAAAGTTAAAAATAGAATAAAGAAAATTCCCTTAGCATGTGAAGATCACAACATATTATGGATTTGCCCACTAAATTATTTATTCCTTTAAGATTAAATTAGTCCAGCTGTCTTAGAGGGCTGGAAGAAGACCTCTTGCAGAAAGGTTTCTACTGGATTTAGAATTTAGAATCTGACTTCAACCAGTGGAGGAGGTAAACTGCCAAGGTCAACAGATCTGTGTTGATCAGCCTGAGAACCAGCAGCCATGACCACATGTGAGAGCAGGCTGTGAAAGGAGCTCATTTGCTCCTCTCAAGAAGGGGAGGTTACTCTTCCACACAGGGGCCATCCACATCTGATGAGCGGGCTATCCCTCCATCCTTACATCATGGCTGAGTTCCTTAATAATAGAAAGTTTGTTTGGCATTTTGTGGACAGAGATGGGGATTATGATGGTCTAAACTGAATGAAATGCAGCAAGTAAGCCCTTTCAGGACCATTTCCCCCAAAGCCAAAAAGCGTATTCTGAACAATTTTCCAGAGGGTAGCTTGGGAAAGAATAATGATTACCATTTTGAATTTTTTCTTTTTTTTGGAGACAGGATCTCACTCTTTTTGCCCAGGCTGGAGTGCAGTGATGTGATCACATGTGGCTCACTGCAGCCTCGACTTCCAAGGCTCAGGTGATCCTCCCACCACAGCCTCCTGAGTAGGTGGGACTACAGGCATGTGTCACCACAACTGGCTAATTTTTTGTGTTTTTAACAGCTACGGGGTTTCACCATGTTGCACAGGCTGGTCTTGAACTCTTGGGCTCAAGCGATCTGCCTGTGTCAGCCTCCTGAAGTGCTGGGATTACAGCTGTGAGCCATTGTGCCCAGTCCAGTTTTGAATTTTATAAAAAATGTTTTCTCCATTTCTCACAACAAGATCATTCTGAATCCCACTGAGCTGGGAAGAGTCTTTGGCTCATAAATCAACTGTGTAATCTTAAGAGATTTGAGTTCACATACACTTCAATTCCTATGTATTGCTATATATTGGAGCCAACCTTTTTTGGCAGTCAGAAAACCTAACCAGCCTGCACAAATAACAATTTTCCCTCAGATTATCTTCATTTTTATTTATTTATTTATTTTTAGATGGAGTCTCACTCTGTTGCCGGGCTGGAGTGCAGTGGCACGATCTTGGCTCACTGCAACCTCCGCCTCCTGGGTTCAAACGATTCTCCTGCCTCAGCCTCCCGAGTAGCTGGGATTACAATATCACAGGATTGTTGGTAAACTAGAAACACTTAGCAATTCCTTTTCATGCTAGGTTTTTTCTTTCCTTAAATACAGGAGATGGACTACAGTCAACTTTTTCCTTCACCAAACAAGATATATAAAATCACTATTGTGAATGGAAAATAAATTTTGGGACCCCCAAATCACTAAGCCAAAAGGGAAAGTCAAGCTGAGACTTTTGCTTAGTGCAAACCTGCTTCCCATTCTATTCCTTAAAAAGATAGCTACTAAGACAAAAAAGCTATGTACCTCCCTCACAATTTGTCCACAGGAAAATTCCTTGTGGACAAAGGACAGACAGAATTCAAAGTCTTCCCTCTGCTCATTGAGATAAGTGCATATCTGATTGCTTACTTTGGAAAGGCTAACCAGAAACTCAAAAGAACGCAACCATTTGTTTCTTATCTATTTATAACCTGGAAGCCCCCTCCCCGCTTCAAGTTGTCCCACCTTTCCGGACTGAACCAATGTACATCTTACATATATTGATTGATATCTCATGTCCCCCTAAAATGTATAAAACCAAACTGTGCCCCAACCACCTTGGGCACATGTCGTCAGGACCTCCCGAGGCTGTGTCACAGGCATGTCCTTAACCTTGGCAAAAGACAAAACAAAACAAAACTTTCTAAATTGACTGAGACTTGTCTCAGGTATTTGGGGTTCACACTATGCTCCCTTAATTATCATAGTGGACAATTGTTTGGGGCTGCTCAGCATCCATCTCTATTTCTAATAATGTCCCAAGTCTTTTTCTCCCCACTGAGTGTGAGTTTGGTGAGAGGGTGACCTCTGAAACTGTGAGGACCAAGGGGCTACAGCTGAGTGGCCCAATACAGTAGCCACTAGCCACACATGACTACTGAGCACTGAAATCGGGCTAATGTGATTGAATTTTTTTAAAAAAATTATTTATTTTGAGAAAAAGTCTGGCTCTGTCACCCAGGCCAGAGTGCAGTGGCACTATCTCAGCTCACTGCAACCTCTGCCGCCTGGGCTCAGGTGATGCTCCCACTGCAGCCTCCTGAGTAGCTGGGACTATAGGCGTGCACAACCACACCCGGCTAATTTTTGTATTTTTTGTAGAGATGGGGTTTGGCCATGTTGCCCAGGCTGGTCTCAAATTCCTAGGCTCAGGTGATCCGCCCACCTCGGCCTCCCAAAGTGCCGGGATTATAGGCGTGAGCCACTGCACCTGGCCCTGAATTTTTCATTTAACTTTAAATGAATTAAATTTAAAAACTGAGTTTAGTTTTTTGAAAACTGTGAAGTATGTTTAGAACAAGTTGGGCATGTGAACCTACTTTTTTAACTGTACATTTTATGAAGCTTACTTATATACAGTTAACTTTTGGAAGATCAAGTATTTCCACTGAAACTTTAGCTTCCAAGTTGAAATGTGCTATAAAATATATTGGGATTTTGGGGAAAAAGTGTAAAATAGCTTACTGATAATTTTTCCTATATTGATTACATGTAGAAATGATAATATTTGGATATATTAGGTTAAATAAAATTAATTTCATGTGTTTTTAATGTGACACTGTAAAATTTTAAATTACATACATACCTTATATTTCTATTGGTAGCACTGGAAGCACTCTCCTCTTCCTGCACAGCACAGAGGGCAGGCCTGCAGACTGAGCTTTGTCAACCATGTGCACCTCAGAGCCAAAGCAAGGCAAGGGCAGAGAGATCTGGTGGACAAGGTCAGATGGAGATCACCAATGCAGGGGTGTCTCTCTCATCGGCCAGGTCAGGCTGCTCTGGTCCCAGCTGCAAAGACCTGCTTCCTTCTCTGCCTGTGTCTTGGCGGGATATTCCAGAATTCCGTAGTCTTCCCTTCCCACACTAATGCAACAGATTTCTTTTTGCTCACATTAGCCAGTCTTTTCCTAGTGTTTGCAGCCAAGAACGCTGACATAATCAAGACTTGTCAGGAAGCGAGGCTCTCTCTTCCCTGACCATCAATTCACTAGAATCCCAGGTGAACCTCGTTATTACTAAATAATCACCAGGGCTGGGGCTGAGGCAGCTGTAGCTATAGCAAGCTGCTCAGGTGATTCTGATGCTCAGCCAGGGTAAGAACCACTGCTTTAAGTTTTTTGTTTTTTGTTTTTTTTGAGACAGTCTCACTCTGTCACCCAGGCTAGAGTGCAGTGACGCAATCTCGGCTCACTGCAACCTCTGCCTCCTGGGTTCAAGTGATTCTCCTGCCTCAGTCTCCTGAGTAGCTGGGACTACAGGCGCCCGCCACTACACCGGCTAATTTTTGTATTTTTAGTAGAGACGGGGGTTTCGCCATGTTGGCTAGGCTGGTCTCAAACTCCTGACCTCAGGTGATCCACCCACTTTGGCCTCCCATAGTGCTGGGATTACAGGCATGAGCCACCGCACCCGGCCCTAAGTTTTCTTTTTAAGTGTCTGCATGGCAAGTGAGGGAACATGAGCCTATGCTACTACACTTCTCACATGGAGGTTAATCAAACATCCTGCGTTCCCTGCCCTTCTGCAGCTGGCATGCATTCACGCATTCAACAAATATTTATTGAGGACCTATTGTGCATGCTCCGGGCATTGCTCCAGCTTCTAGGGATGCGGCAGCGAGCAAAACAGACAAGAACCCTTCTCTGCTAAAACATACTTTCTAGCAGGGGGAGAGGAAGAGATAATATGCAAAAGAAAAGAGAAAAATACATAGTATGTCACACGATGAAAAGTTCTAAGAAGAAAACCAAAGCAGGGAAAAAGAGCGTTGTGTGTGTGTGTTGGGAGGGTATAGAAATTTAGATGGGATGGTTACAGAAGGAATCCCTGGGAGGTTACATTTGCAGGAAAGGAGCAAGCCTTGAGGACATGCAGTGGGGGGAGAGTTTTCTAGGCAAACAGAAAGGCAAGTGCAAAGACCCTGAAGTAGGAATATATCTGGGATACTGGAGGAACAGCAGAAGGCCAATGTGTTGTGTGGAGAGAGTAAGGAAACAGAGCAGTAGAAACTGAAGTCAGAGAGGTAAGGGTGCTGGAGGGAGGGGGTGTCTGCACCCACTTAAGAAAATGAGACAAAAGGCTCCTCATCGAGGTGATTAGCCATCAGATGAAGGAAGACTGGGGAAAATACCTTCTGGAGATCCTATCCAAGCAACTGCTCTCCATTTCACCTGTACTTATTTAGGGTGTCCTAGGAGTGATGCACCTCTCCAGGATAAACTGTTACACTTTACTTGGCCACATAATTTGGGGGTGAAGGTAAGGCAGAGAGAAACCCTTGTTTCACAGAGCTTATGCTAACTACACTCTCACACTAGAATGGGCGTGGGTTTTCTTCACAATAAACTCATAATCACCACAATGAGAAAGAGGTGCTGAAAAGAAAAAGAAATAAAAATATCACGGCAGGATCATAAATCCTAAGTGCTCTTTGTCTGTCTTGAATTAGGGAGGACACTTCCCAGAATCCTGCTTCTTTGGAAAATTGGAAAATTCCAACAATCACCAGAAGTGGTTTTGTTTCTTTTAGGCATCCTGACTTCCCTCTGTACCTAGAGCTGATCACAGCCCTCCAGCTGATTAGACTAGATTAGACATCAGGAGAAAAAAATGAAATGCGTATTTCCCTGGATTGTTAAATACTCATTAAACACCTGTTCCATCAACTGACTTGCCCAAACTGCTGTGCACCCCCACTGCCAGGACACTGATGTCCTTTCTCAGGCTTAGGTTTTCTCCAGCTACCCATAACCCCTTCTTGTTGTCCAGCCTCTGTGTTGACCGGCTGGGGCTCAGGCTTTGGCTCTGTTCTGTTGGCAGACCTATACATGAATGCTTTGCTCACTCACCGCTTGCTGTGCTGCAAACCAGGGATCAGGAGAGCATCCATGCACACTCATTCATTCATTCATATGCTTTGTGAGTGGCTACTGGATGTAAGGCATGGTTCTAGGGGCCAAGGAGACACCAGTACACACACACAAAAGTGAGAGAAGTGAACAGAGGAGGGAAAAATGGGCCTTGCACTTGAGAAGGCAGACCACAAATAAACATGAAATATGTCAGGTGATAAGTGCTGTGGGAAAACAAAGGCAGATAAGCAGGTGGAGAATAACAATGCACGTGGTGCTAATTTTTTTCTTTTGAGATGGAGTCTCGCTCTGTCACCCATGCTGAAGTGCAGTGGTGCAATCTTGGCTCACTGCAACCTCTGCCTCCTGGGTTCAAGCGGTTCTCCTGCCTCAGCCTCCTGAGCAGCTAGGATTACAGGCATCCACCACCATGCCCAGCTAATTTTTGTATTTTTAGTAGAGACGGGGTTTCACCATGTTGGCCAGGCTGATCTCGAACTCCTAACCTCAGGTCATCCACCTGCCTCGGCCTCCCAAAGTGTGGGATTACAGGCATGAGCCACCACGCCCAGTCATGGTGCTAGTTTCAAGCAATGGTCAAGAAAGGACATTTTAATAATGTGCCTTTTGACCTAGACATCTGGAAAACCTCAGTGTAGATCCTTTCAGGCAGAGAAAACAGTCTGAACCACGGCCCAGAGGCATGGCTGTGCTCGCATGTTGGAACAGCAGCCAGAAGGCTATGCTGGAGCGAGTGAGCCAGGGGGATGAGATCAGAGAAGTGTCAGAGGACAAGATCAGATGGAACCTCGTCAGCCAAAGCAAGGACTCTGAATTTATTCTAGGTGAGATGGAAGCCACCGCAGCATTTGAGGTCATCCTGGCTGCTGTGAGAATAGATTAGAATTCCAGTTAAGAGACTACTGGAGTAATCCAGGCAAAATAAATGGTGGAGTAAGACATGTGACAGACAAACAGCAGCCTGTCAACAGGAGGTCTTCCCCCCTCCCCTTTCCTCTGCTCCTTGGGGAGGGATCATCTAGTGTCAGAGAAAGGGAGGAGCCAAGCGGGGCTGCCTGGCTTGACTGAAATAAGACATTTTTCATAGCAGACATTTTCATAAATACACTGCACTTTATATCCTTTATTTAAGAATGTTACGAATTTAAAGCCCTTAGAAAGCCTAAGTAAAAAATGCCTGCCTTCTGAACTTCCCCGACACTGTGTTGTAGCTTCACTCAAGATCAAGGAGAAAAGCAGTTTTGGGCAAGCCCTGCCCAATGTATCCATTAAAGTATCTAAACTGCTTTTCACCTACTTTATTTCCCTTGGACAAAATGTGTGCATGCCCATGACACCTAAGTGAACCACAGTTGTATGGAAACAGCTGGGGTGATCAGGACCCACCCTGAAGAAGCTTTTATCAATAACCACAGGTTGATGAGGAAATCAGTCCTCCATAATCCGCTGAACTTTCTGTTGTGTGTTCTTATAGTTAAAAAGGTCAGTTACCAGAGACCCTTAACTAGCTCATCCCCTGGACAATCATAGCTACCCCCTGTGCACCCTAAATGTTTTGCTGGAGAAAGACCATGACCAGTCTAGGGAGCCTCATGGTGTCTTCCCTATCCGGCAGTCTCAAGGCCCCCTCCTCGAGGCTCTGTCGCTGACCGCCTGGCAATCTTGGAGGGGTTTTCATGGGTAGAGCCCTGGCTGGTGAGCTCTCTCCTCCCCGCTCCCTCCCTGCCATCTGATTATTAGAAAGGGCAGTTTCTCTCTTTAAAACCATGTGGTTTCAAGCACATGGCAAACCTAGCAGACTGTCCCAGATGAACGGCTGCCTAGTGACTCCCAGTGACAGCCTAAGGAGACAGAACCCTAGAAATGGCCACAATGCTGAGGAGTTTACCGTTGGTCCATTCTCTCACCAGGACTGGGGCCCTGATCCTGAAACTGATCTTCTCACTTTATCCTTTGGAGACTTTTTTCCTTTTCAAAACAATCCTTGGTGTTCTTTTTAACATAATTTTATCTGACTAAATTCAGGGAAGGGAGAGAGGTAAGTATAGATCATATGGAGTGACTTGCCTTAGGGATGGCCAGATACATGACAATAGATTAACTAAAACAAATCAGCAACCAATCCAGCCAGCTTTCCTCAGACAGAGAAACAAATTACAAAATTGTAAGGACCAGATATAGCCTTTAATTCCTAATGTTCAAAAACAATCCTGTCTTCTAAATCACAACTTTTCGAGTTACAAGATTTATCCACTTCAAATAAGGATACCTTTTATAAAGTACTTTCTTGTGGTTTTACAGATTTCAAGGTGCTTCTACGTGGCTTCAGCAATTCTCACAACAAACCCTCAGTGGGTCAGGGTCTTCTAAGATTAAAATGTTAACACCAATGCGTGTGAAGTACAGTGAAGTACAGTGAGGTTAAGGCTCAGTGGCAAACGTTAAAGAGGCCCACACAACACACCAGGGATCAGAGCCAGGTCAAATTCTTGCTCCCCACCTCCACCCCACCTCAAGAAGAAATTTATTTTTTGTTTTTATTTTTAGAAACAGTCTCACTCGGTCACCCAGGCTGGAGGCCATGTCACGATCACAGCTTACTGTAACCTCAAACTCCTAGACTCAAGCAATCCTCCTGCCTCAGCCTCCCAAGTAGCTAGGACTACAAGCATGTGCCACCACACTTGTTTCATTTTTAAATTTTTTGTAGCAATGGGGGTCTCGCTATGTTGCCCAGGCTGGTCCTGAACTCCTGGCCTCAAGGAGGCACTAGATTGAATGACAACAGCTACAGCATTTCTTACTGAACTTAACCCTGTGTGACCCTTGAAATAATAAAACCCACTGATCAAAATAGATGCTATAATCTTTACCACAAATGAATAATTAACCCTGTGCTCAAACTGCTACAAAAATATGAGATTCAAATGTTGGAGCCAATGAAGTTTGTATAAAGGAGAGTTTCTGCCAGTGGGATGTGGCAGTGCCACCCTCCTTATATCTTGGCTGTCAGTCTTTTGGCTTGGTCCCGCAGCTCCATTGTTGCGATTGCTGAAAGATGAACTTCGTCAGGTCCATCTGCTAAACGCAAAACTCGGGTTATAGCATACCTGAAAAAGCAAAAGAATCAGGGAACACAGGGAGTTATGGAAGAGGAACATGATACTTTGACATCAGTCACTCTGATTGTCAACCAAGACTATATTAATTCTTAAATTCCACCAAGGTCAGGGTAAGAAAAAGGGTACCAGGAAAATAAGCTAAAGGGCTTCTGCAATGCCATCTTAAAGTTTCCAACTTGGGAAAGTTAAATGCCAAAGTACAGTGGAGTTCATCTCATTCTTGGTTTGCTACAGTTTACTACATGTTGCTAGAACTTAGAACAGGCAGTGACTGGTATGATACTATATATTTAGTTCTTTCTTAAGGTTTAAAATTGATGAAGGATGAGACTCTATCTCCATTGTGATAGAGAAGGTGACACTGTAATTATGTGTGGAGATGGACAGATGGGGAATGGAGAATGTTCCTTTCTGCCTCCCAGTCATCAGGATCTATATATTAGATAGTCACTGACATGTCCTGCTACAAATTCAGCGAAACCCCATGCTGTATCTACAGCCCAGGAATCCTCAGTGGGACCCCTCAGTGTAAAAATTAACATAATGGAATGAAATGATTATTGTAATAATAAGAGCAACTATTTCTTGGTGTTGAGCTCTATATTAATGTATATCACTTCATTTAGCCTTCAATTACACTGAAAATAAACATAAGCAATTAATGTCAAGGCATCTGTAGATTTTTTACCTCCACGCCTATCAAACGTAGATGATTCTTAAATGACATCTACTCACATGTTAGCCAGAGGGTAATCCTGGGAAACACCAGCACCTCCGCACACCTGGATGGCCCAGTCAACGATTTTGCTGACAGCCCGTGGGGCAGCCACTTTGATCATTGCAATCTATATAAGCAAAATATGAAAAGAATGCTTCTTTCTTAGACTATACACAATGTGGCAAAACTGGGAAATGAAACAAGGAAACTTTCCCACATCCAAGTCACCACTAAAACAGGATCTTTAACAAAAGCCAACAAAGAGATCCTGCTGCAATGCCATATTTCAGTCAATACAGACCCTCTGGAAAGAGACACCTCTTCCAAATCACATTTTATCCATTTATTTCTAACTTGTCTTGTTTCCAAAAGGATTTCAGGCAGCTGATAAATCACACTCATCACCTTAGGGATCATAAAAATAGTCCAAGGGTCTTTGCGCTATTAATCAGGTTTCTTTTAGCAGTTTTATGGGCTTTTAGAATTAAATGATTATGTCTTTATTTCATATAATCCAGAAACATAAGAAAGCAAAGGATGAGAGGTCTCTTTCATGAAACATTTACTATGTAGCAGTATCATGCTGTGCATTTTTTGTTTTGTTATTTGAGACAGGCTCTCACTCTGTCACCCAGAATAGAGTGGAGTGGCTATTCCCAGGTGTGATCATAGCTCACTACTGCTGCCTCAGAATCCTGGGCTCAAGCAATCCCCCTGCCTCAGCCTCCCTGGGACTACAGGTACAAGTTACCATGTCGGCTAATTTTTTTTTTAAGAGACAGGGTCTCACTATGTTGCCCAGGCTGGTCTCGAATCCCTGGCCTCAAACAATTCTCCCACCTCCACTTCCCAAGTAGCTTGGATTACAGGCGAGAGCCACTGTACGTGGCTTCTGCACATTCTATGTACATCATCTTGGTTACTCTTCACAACAACCCTAGGCCTTAGGCAGAAAAGTTAAGTACTTTGCCCGTGATCACAAGGCTAGAAGAAAGTGGCAGAGTGGGTGCAGTTCCAGGGCTGTGTAAAGCCTATGATTTCCCCCATTCCTTGTTGCTGTATCTTAAGAATGCTGAAGATATTCTCCCTCCTGAAAATCATTCCCTAAAGCACTTGCTAGGAGACTAGCAAGTGACAGGCATTTATAATTTATAACCCAAAATCACATGGGGGCTTCCAATATTCTGAGTGCCATCAAGATGCCATGAAAACTGAAATGTCCAACAGGTGAGAGAACTGGAGAAGGCTCAGCAGTTGGTGGTCTGAGGGGAGAAGGTAGCCTCACCTCTTTCTTAGCGCCAGCACTGCCCAGAGTGTCCATGCTGTGAGCAGCTTTCAGAGTCAACAAGCGGATCTTCTCAATGGCAATGCGGCTTTCAGCAATCCAGTGAGCCACAACCTCCTATAGGGGAGGAAAAGGCAGCAAAAGAAGGAGGAGCTAAGCTGGTATCTGATGTCCACGTGTAACACAGTCTTATAGTTTGGTGAAAACACTCTCTAAGCCAGAGATTGTTCACAAGCTTTACTCTATGTATTTTTAAATGGAAGAGTTAATTCATTTGATATACACCAGCCTAACCACATACTTGTGGAATGCTTACAGTTAAAATTGAAATATTTTAGAAAGAAATTTTATTTTCCCAGAAAAATCATTTATTTTGGATATCTTAATGTCTAAGGTAAAGATGGCTGAACTGAGCAACTGCCTTACCGCCAAACCACTCAAAGGCCCTCCTGAATGCTAATTGCCTGCTGTCATGGAAACTTGGCTAAATGTATGGTAGTGAAGCTGCTTACAGGTAAACTAGAAAATTCTCAGCACAATTTCAGTGTGGGGACAGTTCAGCAGCAATTTGCTGTGTTGTTATTGTTATTTATTCATTAAAAATGACCTTTTCTTTAGTAGACAGTTGAATTATAATACATGTATAGATTGGAATAACCACAGTCAAGAACACAGAACAGTTCCATCTCCCACAGAACTCCCTGGTGCTGCCCCTTTTTAGTCACAGGCTCCTCTCACTCCTAACTTCTGGCAACCATTGATAGGTTCTCCATCACTATAGTTTTGCCTTTTCCAGAATGTCATGTAAATAGAATCATATAGCATGTATTGTTTTGAGACCAACTTCTTTCATTCAGTTTAATGCCTTTGAGTTTCATCCAAATTGTTCTGTGTATTGACTGTTCATTCCTTTTTATTGCTGAGTAGTATTCCATTGTAAGTATGTATCAGTTGGTTTATCCATTTGCCTGTTGAAGGACATTTCGGTTGTTGCCAGTTTTTAAATTTTATTTATTTATTTTTTGAGACAGACTGGCTCTGTCGCCCAGGCTGGAGTGCAGTGGCGCCATCTCAGATCACTGCAACCTCCACCTTCTGGGTTCAAGCGATTCTCCTGCCTCAGCCTCTGAGTAGCTGGGACTACAGGCGCCCATCACCATGCCTGGCTAATTTTTGTATTTTTTAGTAGAGACAGGGTTTCACCATATTGGCCAGGCTGGTCTTGAACTCCTGACCTTGTGATCTGCCTGCCTCGGCCTCCCAAAGTGCTGGGATTACAGGCGTGAGCCATCGCGAGATTATTCATAGAGTTTCTGTGTATTTGTATACGGGTTTTTGTGTGGACATGTTTTCATTTTTTAAAGCAGATAGCAGGAGTAGAATTGTTGGGTCAGTGGTAAATGTTTATTAAGAAGCTGACAGTTTTCTAGAGTGGTTGTACATTTTGCATTCCTACTAGCAGTGTATGAGAGTTCCAGTTGCTCCTCAAACCATCAGCACTTAGTATCATATTTTATTTTAGTCATTTTAAGTGTGCAGAGATATCATGGTTTTAATTTGCATTTCTGTAATGGCTACTGCTGTTGATCCCCTTCAATGTACTGATTTGCCATCTCTATACCTCTTTGGTGATATGTCTGTTAAAGTCTTTTGTCCATTTTTTAATTGGGTTGTTTTCTTACTATTTGATTTAGAGAGTCCTTCATATATTCAGGACGCTAGTCATTTGCCACATGAGAAATCTGTCAATTCTTTCTTTTATGAGCCTTGCTTTTGGTGCATGTTTAGGAACATTTTACCTAATCCCAGAAAATGATTTTTCCACTATGTTTTCTTCTAAAAGTTTACAGCTTTACCTTTTACATTTAGATCTATGATCCATTTAGAGTTAAAATTTTGTGTGAGGTGTGTGGTTTAGATCAAGGGTCCCTCTTTTGCCTATCTATGTCCAATTGCTGCAACACCATTTACTGTAAAGATGTAACCTTTTCCATTGAACTGCCTTTGCACCTATGTAAAAAATTAATTGGCCTATATTTCTATGAATCTATTCCTGGACTCTCTCTTCTGCTCCAAAGATCTACATGCCTTTTGCTCACTGATTACTGTAGTTTAGAGTAAGTCTTAAGATTAGGTAGTGTGATTCACTGAGCTTTCTTCTTTTTCAAATTGTTTTGGCTACTTTAGTGTTTTTGTATTTCCATATAAATTTTAGGATCAGTCTGTCTTTATCTACAAAATTGTCCTTTTGGGACTGTGATTGGAACTGCCTTAAGTCTGCAGATCAATTTGAGGATGGTTAACATCTTTAATCTGTTAGTCTTCTAATCTACATATTTACTTAGGTCTCCTTTGATTTATTATATCACTTTTTTCTACTTTTTAGTGCATGTGGATATTGTACGTGTTTTGGTAGAGTAGTACTTAAAAAAAACTGTTGTAAATGGTATTTTAAAACTTTCAGTTCCCCCATTGTTCATTGCTTGTATATAAAAATAAAATTGTTACGTACTGACCTTGTATCCTGTGACTTTGCTAAACTCACTTATTAGTTCTGGGAGGGTTGTTTCGTTTTGTTTGATACGTTCCTTAGGATTTTCTATACAATCACATTGTCATCTACAAGCAGGCCCAGTTTTACTTCTTTTTTCCCCCAACTACATGCACTTTTTTTCTCTTGTTTTACTGCACTGCCTAGGAATTCTTCTATGATCATAAATTGGAATAGTGAGGGTGAACATTCTTGCCTCATTTCCAGTTTTGGGGGAAAAGCATTTAGTCTTTCATCATTAAGTATGATGTTAGATTTTTAAAAATACTCTCTATAAAGTTGAGTAAATTCCTTTGTATTCCCAGTTTGCTGAAAGTTTCTATCATAAACAGATGCTGAATTTTGTCAAATGCCAAAGCATCAATTGATATGATCATGTGATTTTTTTAATGTTCATGCAGTTTTTGCTGTTAGTTTGGCAGATTATAATAATTTATTTTTAATTATCGAGTTATAGACATGAATCAGGCTTGCATTTGTGGGATAAACCCTACTTGATTATGCTGTATGATTATTTTTACATACTGCCAGATTCTATTCGGTAATACTTTGCTGGTGGTTTTTGCATCTATATTGGTCTATGGTTTGTTCTTGTCTGGTTTTGGATTAGGATGATTCTGGCCTCATAAAATGAGTTGACAAGTGTTTCCTCCTTCTCTATTTCTGGAATAGATATGTAAAATTGGTGTTACTTCTTCTCTAACTGTTTAGTAGAATTTACCAGTAATACCATCTGGGCCTGAAGATTTCTTTTTTCAGCAGCTTTTTAACTTTGAATTCAACTTCTAACAATAGTTGTAGAACTATTCAGGTTATCTACTTCATCTTCGGTGAGTTTTGATAGTTCATGGGATTTGAGGAATTGGTCTACTTCATCTAAATTGTTAACTTTATGTGCTTTGTACACATACTAGAGCGTGTGGGTCCCAAGTCCTAGATCTGGAATGGAGGAGACTCTACTTCAGCCTTGGCTCCAGACCCCATTCTCCAATCCATGTTTTCCCAGAGAGCTCTGCATTGTGGCTTACAGACAGCCTACACAGACTAAGAAAATAAGTATGTCTGATATCCTCTGCTTCTAACAAGGATGGAATCGATATATTTTTCTCTATTCCTTCTGTTAAGTACAACTAATAACCCTGGGCATTATCTATAAAACAAACATAAGAAGACTCTGAAAGGTAGAGAAAAGGCAGACTATTTAGGGACTTCAGGTCCAAAAGAATAACCTAGTGGTGTGTTTCCTAGGTTTTCTTTTTGCCTCATATATCTCAGCTGCTGAGGTTCTTCCCGGCAGCTGAAGAATCTAGTAACCTGGAAATGTCAGTGAGCACAGACCAAAACAAAACAAAAACATAAAGCACCCCAACAAAAGTATAATCTCTCTAACCAAAGGATCAGGAAAGATGCAGCCTAGCAAGCCAAAAATCTTTTAGAGAATAACCACTTTACTCCAGCCAAACACCACAGAAAAAACATTGGCCCCCACCACTCCTCACACCAGCAAAGGCAGGATGGGGAGCGTAGGCTTCCACCCTGGCAAGCACTGTAATGAGGTGCCCCAGCTCCCCTGCCAGGAAGGTATCAGACAGTGCCAAGTAAAAACCTGAGGCTTTCCTCCCCACTGGCCAGTAATAAGTCCCCCCAACCCATCTTATGGGTTGTTAGTGCAGTCCAAATGGGATGCCTGGACTTTCATCCCACCTGGCAGTATGAGGGCATCATCCTCTTCAGGTACTGATGGAAGCTGGGAGGGGAACCTGGACTTCTCTCTCTGCCTAGCAGTAATGAGGTGATGCCACTCCTTTCTCTGACAGAATGGTGTCAAAGAAAGCCAAGAAGGTTTAAAAAGGTCCAGAGTCTCACAGTATAAAACTGTTCAGGTTTCAATTTTATAAATCACCCATAATACCAAAAACCTGGAACAATTCAAAATTAATTTTTAAAAAATAAAGAGACACCGTGATATAGTTTGGATGCTTGTCTCCTCCAAATCGCATATTGAAACATGAAGGTGGAACCTAGTGGGAGGGTCATGGGGGAATATCCCTCATAAATGGTTTTATGCCTTCTCTTCAGTAATGAGTTCACATGAGATCTGATTGTTTAAAAGAGTCTGGGATGTCCCCCCTTATCTCTCGTTCCCTCTGTTGCCACGTGATGTGCTGGCTCCCCCTTTACCTTCCACTATGATTGTAAGCTTCCTGAGGTCTCCCCAGAAATAGACATTGGCATTAGGCTTGTACAGCCTGCAGAACCATGGGCCAAACAAAACCTCTTTTCTTTATAAATCACCCAGTCTCAGGTATTCCTTAATAGCACTATAAAATGGACTAACACACCCAGATAACAGAGATGTTAGAATTTCTGACAAAATTTTAAAGCAGCCATGATAAAAATGCTTCAGTGAGCAGTTACAAACACAGCTGAAGCAATTGAAAAAATAGAAAGCCTCAGCAAAGAAATAGAAGATGTAAAGAAAAACCAAATGGGTATTTTATAAGTAAAAAATATAACAGTTCAAATAAAAAGCTCAGTAAATGGGTTCCACAGCAGAACAGAGGGGACAGAGGAAAAAAATCAGTGAACTGGAAGATAGGACAATAGAAACAGCCCACCCTAAACCAAAGAGAGAAAACAAACTCAAAAAAACAAAAAAAAAAAGAACAGCATCATAGGAACATGTGGAATTATAACAAAAGATTTACCATTCACATCACCAGATTCCAGGAAGAAGAGAAAGAGTAAGGCTGAAAAAGTTTGAAGAAACAATGGTTGAAAACATCCCAAATTTGGCAAGAGACCTAAACCTGAAGATTCAAGAAGCTGGGTGAATCCCAAGCAGGATAAATCCTAGAAATCCATACCAACACACATCATGATTAAGTTTCTGAAAAAATAGACATAAAAAAATCTTGAAAGCACCAGAGAAAAATGACACCTTACCTATAGCAGGGATATATATATGTCAGAAGGAAGCAGCACAATATTTTTCTAGTGCTGAAAGAAAAGAAACTTATATCCAGTGGGGATATCTTCCAGGAATAAAGAAGAAATAAGACATTCTTAGAAGAAGCAAAACAGAATTTGTCACTTTTAGACCCTAAAGGAAATGTTAAAGGAAGTTCTCTAAATGGAAAGAAAAAGATAAAAGAAGAAACCTTGGAAAATCAGGAAAGAAGAAAGAACACAATAAGCAAAAATACAGCTAATAAAATTCGTTTGCTTTCTTCTCTAAAATTTTCTAAAGTATATTTGATGGTGGAGGCAAAAATTATAACCCTGATGTTGTTCTAAATGTATTTAGAGAAAATAATTAAGACAATTATATTGTTTATTTATTTAGAGACAGAGTCTCACTCTATCTCCCAGGCTGGAGTGCAGTGGCGTGATCTCAGCTCACTGCAACCTCCGCCTCCTGGGTTTAAGCAATTCTTGTGCCTCAGCCTCCCGAATAGCTGGGGTTACAGGCACACGCCACCATACCCGGCTAATTTTTGTATTTTTAGTAGAAACAGGGTTTCACCATGTTGGCCAGGCTGGTCTCAAACTCCTGACCTCAAATGATCCACCCGCCATGGCCTCCCAAAGTGTGGGATTACAGGTGTGAACTACTGCGCCAGGCCCAAGACAATTATATTATAAATGGGAGAAGTTAAAGGAACTTAAAGGAAGGTAAAATGTCTATACTTGACTCAAACTGGTAAAATGATGACACCAATAGACTTTAATAAGATCTAGAGAGAAAGGTAACTAGATAGATAGATAAACATGTATATATAATACCTAGAACAACCACCAAAACAGCTATACAAAGAGACACTCGAGAAACACTATAAATAAATCAAAATGTAGTTCTAAAAATGTTAAATTAACCCACAGGAATGCAGGAAAAGGAAAACAGAAAAACAATAACCAGAGAGAACAAACAGAAAACAAAAATAAAATATCCGATTTAAGCCCTAACATATCAGTTATTATAAAGACAAAGATTGATAAAGTGGATTAAAAATATGACCAAACTATATGTTATTTAGAAGAAATGTATATCAAATATAATGATATAGGGCCAGGTATGGTGGCATCCACAACAGGACATCTACAAAAATGCTATAGCTAACATTATACCTAACATTCCCCTAAGACAGAGAACAAGATAAGAATGTCAGTTCTCACCTCTCTTATTCAACATAGTATTGGAAGTTCTAGCCAGTGCAATAAGACAAAGGAAGGAGACAAAAAGCATGTATATCATAAAAGAATAAATAAAACTGTTCCTTATTTACAGATGACATGATTATCTATGTAAAATCCCAAGCAATCTACAAAAAACTCCTAGAACTAATAAGTGAGTTCAGCGAGGCCACAGGGTATGAGATAAACATACAACATGGTGAAACCCTGTCTCTACTAAAAATACAAAAAAATTAGCCAGGTGTGGTGGCAGGCACCTGAATCCTAGCTACTTGGGAGGCTGAGGCTGGAGAATCGCTTGAACCCAGGAGGCGGAGACCGCAGTGAGCCAAGATCATGCAATTACACTCCAGCCTGGGCAACAACAGTGAAACTTCATCTCAAAAAAACAAAACAAAAAAACTATACTTCCATATACTAGTAATAGACCCTGAAATTAAAAACACAATACTTATTATAATTGCTCAAAACTGAAATACTTATGTATAGGACTTGTATGCTGAAAACTACACACAGATGAGATGATGTGTGTAGATGATGAAAGAAACCAAGGAAAAGCTAAATAAATGGAGAGATATACCAGGTTCACAGAATAGAAAACTCCACATAGTAAAGATATCAATTTTTCTTAATGTTTGCAGATATAGACAAGATTATTTTTAAATTATATGCAAAGGCAAAGGAACCAGAATAGCTGAAACACTTTTGAAAGAGAAGTCTAAACTGAGAGGAATCAGCCTAGCTTATTTGAAGACTGACTATGTAACCACAGTAATCAAGACTGTGCAGTGTTGGCAGAGACTGACGCATAGATAATTAAGACAGAAGAGACAACCCATATATAAACCCACACAAATAATGTCTGACTGATTTTTGAGAAAGGCACAAAAACAATTCAATGGAGGAAACATAGCTTTTTCAAAAAACGTTGCTGAAGCAATTGGACATCCACAGGCAAAAAAAAAAAAAAAAAAAAAAAAAAGAAGCTTGACCTAAGTTTCATACAAAAGTTAACTCAAAATGTAAGCAGACACAAATGTAAAATGTGAAACTTTTAGTGACACATTATGGGAGAAAATCTTCAGAATATAGGATTCGGCAGAGTTATTAGACTTGACACCAAAAGCATGACCCACATAAGCAAAAATTGACAAATTAGAGTTCATTAAAATTAAACACTTTTGTTCTGTGAACGACCCTGTTAAGAGGATGAAAAGACAAGATACAGAGTAGGAGAAAATATTTACAAACTACATATCTGACAGGATAGTATCTAGAATATATAAAGAACTCTCAAAATTCAAAGTAAAAAAAAAGTGATCTAGGACATGGACACAGGACATGAACCAAAGAGGACATAAGATGGCAAATAAGCACATGAAAAGATGCTCAACATGATTCACCAACAGGGCAACTGAGATTAAAGCCACAATGAGATATCACTACAAACCCATCAGAATGGCTAAAATTAAAAAGTAGTGACAACACCATATGCTGGAGGGGATGTGGAGAAACTGAATCACTCATACACAGTTAGTGAGAATCAAAAATAGAAAAGCTCAGCAGTTTCCAAAAAAAACTAAACATGCAACTACCACATGACACAGTAATTGCACTCGTGGGCATTTATCTCTGAGAAACGAAAAATTATATTTACACAAAAGCCTACACAAATGTTTACAGCAATTTTATTTGCAATAACCCAAACCTGGAAACAACCCAGATGTCCCTCAACAGGTAAAAACAGTTAAACAAACTGTAGTATATCCAGACTAAGGAATACTACTGAACAATAAAAATGAACCAACTACTGATAAACACAACCTAGATAAATCTCCGAGAAATTATGTTGAGTGAAAACAGCCAGTGTCAAATGTTTTCATATTGTATGACTCCATTCTTGGAATGACAAAATTGTAAAATGAAGAACAGATTAGTGGTTGCCAGGAGTTAATGAGAAGGTTGGGGTGGAAGCAAAGTAAATGTGGCTATAAAAGGGCAACATGAAGGATCCTTGTAGTGAATGGAATGCTCTGTATTCTGACTATATTCATGACAACATCCTGGTCCTGATACTATATTCTAGTTTTGCAAGATGTTACCATTGGGGAAACTGGGCAAAGGATTCAAGAGATCTATATGTTATTTCTTATACCTGTATGTGAAACTGTAATTATCTCAAAGTGAAAAGTTGAATTTAAAAATTGGTACTTGCTTCTTGTTTAGCTTAGAAAACATTCTGTGAGTTTTCCCAATTTGTCAGAACTTGTAAGAGAAGCAGGGAGGTAAGTGGAAAAATATGAAAATCAAACCTCACCATAAGTCCCACAGGCAAGCAAACATTCAGAATTCTGCAATGAAACCCAGGAGGCATACAAAACGTGTCCAGCAGGCTCTAAGGAGTTTTTTGGTTTCCAATTCTAAACACAGAATTGAGTTGGTCCAAGTGTTGTGGGTTACTGTTAAGCTAAACACAGAATTGGTTTCCAATTCTAAACACAGAATTGGTGTTTACAATGGAGAAAAATGTTCATCAAGATGAGTTAAACCAGCAGACAATTACGGTGCTTTGATTCGAGCCATATTAACCTTCCATACCTGTGTTTTCCAGATTATATTTACATTTTATTTTATTTTTTTTCTGATGGTAATCATATCTTTTTTATTTACTTTTAACTTTTAAATTCGGGATACATGTGCAAGTTTGTTATATAGATAAACTCGTGCCATGGGGGTTTATTATACAGATTATTTCGTCACTCAGGTATTAATCCTAGTACCCATTAGTTATTTTTCCCGACCCTCTCCCTCCTCCCACCTTCCACCCTCTGGTAGGCTACCATGTCTGTTATTTCCCTTTATGTGTCCATGTGTTCTCATCATTTAGCTCCCACTTATAAGTGACAAAATGTGGTATTTAGTTTTCTGTTCCTGCGTTAGTTGGCTAAGGATAATGACCTCCAGCTCTATCCATGTTCCCACAAAAGAAATCAACTTATTCTTTTTACGGCTGCATAATGTTCCATGGTGTTTCTGTACCACATTTTCTTTATCCAGTCTATCATTGATGAGCATTTAGGTTGATTCCATGTCTTCACTATTATGAATAGTGCTGTACTGAACATACACACGCATGTGTCTTTAACGTAGAATGACTTATATACCTTTGCGTATATATCCAGTAATGGAATTGCTGGGTCAAATGGTATTTCTGTTTTAAGTTCTTTGAGGAATCCTCACACTGTTTTCCACAATGGCTGAACTCCCACCAACAGTGTATAAGCCTTCCTTTTTCTCCACAACCTCACCAGCCCAGCATCTGTTATTTTTTAATAACAGCCATTCTGACTAGTGTTAGATAGTATCTCACTGTGGCTTTTTTTTTATTTGTATTTCTCTAATGATCAGTGATTTTTAGCTTTTTTTCACATGCCTGTTGGCCACATGTCTGTCTTCTTTTCAAAAGAGTCTGTTCATGTCTTTGGCCTACTTTTTAACGGTTTTTTTTTTTTTTTGTAAATTTGTTTAAGTTCCTTATAGATGTTGGATGTTAGACTTTTGTCAGATGCAAATAGTTTGCTAAATTTTCTCCAATTCTGTAGGTTGCCTATTTACTCTGTTGATAGTTTCTTTTGCCGTGCAGAAGCTCGTTAGTTTAATTAGATTGCATTGATCAATTTTTGCTTTTTTTGTAATGGCTTTTGGCATCTTCATCATGAAATCTTTGCCCATTCCTATGTCCAGAATGGCATTGCGTAGGTTGTCTTCCAGGGTTTTTATAGTTTTGGGTTTTACAGTTAAGTCTTTGATCCTCAACAAAATACTGGAAAACAGAATCCAGCAACACATCAAAAGGCTTATCCACCATGATCCAGTAGGCTATATCCTTGGGATGTAAGGTTGGTTCAACATTTGCAAATCAATAAATCTGATTCATCACATAGAACTAAAGACAAAAACCACTTGATCATCTCAATAGATGCAGAAAAGGCTTTCAATAAAATTCAACACCTCTGCTAAACTTTTCTGTTAAAAACTCTCAATAAACTAGGTATTCGAGGAACATACCTCAAAATAATAAGAGCCATCTATGACAAAACCACAGCAAACATCATACTGAATGGGCAAACACTGGAAGCATTCCCCTTGAAAACTGGCACAAGACAAGGATGTCCTCTCTCACCACTCCTATTCAACACAGTATTGGAAGTCCTGGGCAGACCAATCAGGCAAGAGAAATAAATAAAGTGCATCAAAACAGGAAGACAGAAAGTCAAACTATCCCTGTTTGCAGAAGACATTATTCTATATCTAGAAAACCCCAGTCTCAGCCCTAAAGCTTCTTAAGCTGATAAACAACTTCAGCGAAGTCTCAGGATACAAAATCAACAAACAAAAATCACTAGCACTCCCCGAGAGCCAAATCGGGAATGCAATCCCATTCACAGTTGCCACAAAAAGAATAAAATACCTAGGAATAGAGCTAACCAGGGAGGTAAAAAATCTTTACAAGGAGAACTACAAAACAGTGCTCAAAGAAATCAGAGATGACATAAACAAATGGAAAAACATTCCATGCTCATGGATATGAAGAATCAATATCATTAAAATGACTATACTGCCTGGGGCAATTTATAGATTTAATGCTATTCCTATCAAGCTACCAATGACACTCTTCAAAGAACTAGGAAAAACTATTTTAAAATTTATATGGAACCAAGAAAGAGCCCAAATAGCCAAGGCACTCCTAAACAAAAAGAACAAAGCTGGAGGCATAATGTTACTTGACTTCAAACTATACTACAAGGCTACAGTAACCAAAACAGCATGGTACTGTTACAAAAACAGGTACATAGACCAATGTAACAGAGAGCCCAGAAATGGGGCCACATACCTACAACCATCTGATCATTGACAAAGGTGACAAAAACAAGCAATGGAGAAAGGACTCCCTTATTCAATAAATGGTGCTGGGATAACTTGCTAGCCATCTGCAGGGGATTGAAACTGCGCACCTTCCTTACATCTTAGCCATTTTTTTGACGTTTAATTGTCCTTTTATTTTCCTTTCTTTTCTTCTTTATTATTTTAAGTTCCGGGATACAAGTGCAAAATGTGTAGGTTTGTTACATAGGTATACAGGTGCCATGGTGGTTTGCTACACTTATCTACACGTCATCTAGGTTGTAAGCCCTGCATGCATTAGCTATTTGTCCTAATGCTCTCCCTCTCCTTGCCCCCACCCTCCAACTGGCCCCGGTGTGTGTTGTTCCCCTCCCCATGTCCATGTGTTCTTATTGTTCATCTCCCCACTTATGAGTGAGAACATGCACACCTTGGCCATTTTTATGCTTGGTCATGTTTGCCCTTCAACAGGGGATATTTGATTAGAGTTTCCCTAAAGCGGTGATGTTCAACATGATAGCTACTAACCATATGTGGCTAATGAGCATTTGAAACATACCTAGTCTGAACTGAGATGTACTATAAGTATAAAATATGCACCCCATATTGAAGAATAAATATTAAAATATAAAGTATCTCATTAATAATTTTTATATTGATTTCATGTTGAAATAGTATTTTTGATATATTGGGTTAAATAAAATATATTATTAAAATTAATTCCATCTTTTTCTTTTCACTTTTTAAAAATGTTGCTATTAGAACATTTAAAATAACATTTAAGGTTCATAGTATATTTCTTTTGGATGGCACTGCCCTAGAGGTTGAAACATGGCTCTGAATTAATTTCAAACAAGTTGCTGGTGGTGAATAAATATTTTTTGATGGCTGTAAAACAGGATAATTACAACTTTATAACTTCATGAACAGACTTAGAAGACATTTACTTCTCAGCTTTAGAATAAAGGAGGTATTCTCAGTTGGGTCTCTATAGACCCTAGATTTGCTGAAAAGCATTAAATGGGTAGAAACTAGGTGCTCTAGGGAACTGCCAAATATATTTCCTAAGACAGAACTGGGATGGAGAATTTTTTGCGTTACAGCCTGGAGTAAATTAGAAGGCAGCTGGAAGGAGCCTCCAAATTCAAAGAAATGAAATGTTCCTTTCACAAATTAAAATAAAAAAGCTGGCCCAGATTTTTGCTTATGACATGCTCACACATCTTTTTGTTTCTGCCAGATCACGTTATTTGTGCCAGATGTGAAAAGTTTCCAGTGAAAACAGGCATATTTGTTAAAAAGCCAGGCTTGCTCTGCATGACACATTAACTTTAAAAGGTGGAAGGGAAATTTTTTACTAATGCAGTATTAAAACACCACTCAGGAAAGCAGCACTTGCACAGAGGGCTTTTGTGCATTCGCGATGCTTGTTTGTCGACTTTACTGTGTCCTCCCTTCACCCTGCTCCAGAGTTTGCATGCAAGCTTGACAAAAGGGTAAGAAGTAATGGTTGGTGCCCTGAGCACCTCTTCATCCTTCTTCAACAGCATCAGAGGCTGTATCCAGGGCCCCAGAGGGTCACACTTTCTCACCTCCTCCCACAGTGCCCAGCCAACAGCTGAACTTTGCTGTATACTAAAAACTTGCCTTCGCTGTATACTAAAAGGGCTCCTGACAAATTATTCCCAGGTGTAGTGTCATAAAGCGGGCTGTAGCTTTTCAGTTAAAAAACTATACAAATAAATCATATAATGCTGAATAATACTTTACAAAAAGCAAACATAGATTATAATAATTTAAGGTAAAAAATACATACTGCAAATTTCATAAGATGGTCAAAAATGTATAAGGAGACCGACATACTAAAATATACATGTGCAGCAAACACAAATACAATTCCATCACCACAGATTTGACCTAACACTAACATGTTAGCAATAATAAAGAGTGAACATTTAATAATAGTTTTTCTTGCCTTCTTAAAACTTAGAAGGGAGATGATGTGGATATCCTACTTCTCTGTAGAAGACTTTTTAAGGAAGTCTGAAATAATACCTTCTATTTCATCTCAATACATATTTCCTAATTTTTTTTCTTTTTCTGGAGACAGAGTCTCGCTCTGTCGCCAGGCTGGAGTGCAGTGGCACGATCTTGGCTGAACGCAACCTCTGTCTCCCGGGTTCAAGCAATACTCCTGCCTCAGCCTCCCCAGTAGCTGGGACTACAGGTGCACATCGCCATGCCTGGTTAATTTTTTTTGTTTTTTTTTGTATTTTAGTAGAGACGGGGTTTCACCATGTTGCCCAGGCTGGTCTTGAACTCCTGAGCTCAGGCAACCCACCCGCCTCGGTCTCCCAAAGTGCTGGGATTACAGGTGTGAGCCACTGCGCCTGGCCATATTTCCTAATTTTTATTATATGGGCCACATGTAACTATGTTTACAGTGATTTGTAACAACAGACTCAGTAGTATATAATTTACAGATGATAATTCAAAAAGTCATGAATATCTCACAAAATGTTGGTCCCATTTCTACTTGTGTTTCTCCAGTGACAGAATTCAAGTCCTCCTGAAGAAGCTGATTCCACTTTTAGGTTTATTAGCATGTTTCTCCTTTCCCTGAGTTTTGGGCTGTTTTCCTGTAACTTTACACTTATGTGTCCTAATTCCTTCTAGGAAACCAATGGACAAGGCAAATCCTTCTTCCTTATGACAGCTCCTTCATGTCCACAGGGAGCTCTAATGTTCCAGGTTCTCTAAAGAACAAGAATCTGAGAAAGTTGAAGGAACTGTCTACACTCTTGTGTGCAGAGGTGTTGAAGCATTTTAGGAACTATTTAATTTTTCATAAAGATAAATACCTCTCATTAGACTATATTTAAATACAGACATAAATATGCCTTATTGAAAAGAATCACCCGGTTCATGTAGAGAAAGTCTGTCTCTCACAAGTAATGTTTTTGTTCAATGTTAGTGTAGTGCACCGGGCTACAATAAATTCAAATAAGTAATCGTCCTCACATGTGCATACAACTTCTTCTTGAAAGCTATCCTTTGTGTTGCCCGCTCACACATGATCTGCAAAGCGCGTTCCGCCAAACCTACTGTTCTCATACAGTGGTGGATTCTGCCAGGTCCAAGGCGGCCTTGGGAAATTTCAAATCCCCTACCTTCACCTGGGAAGAAAGGGGAAAAAAAGGGGGAATGTGAAAATGGCCTAGCCCATTCCTTTTGTTATTTATACAAATCCTGGGAAAGAGATGAGCTGCCCTTAATAAAAATGGCTTTCTAGTGAAAAAAAGTCAGTTCTATAATAAGGTTCACTATGAATTCATGGGAATTTTGATTTCTATGTTTTTAAAACCACCACCATTAAACATTTCAAATTTCAGAACTGTCTCTTAAGTATGTACTATGCATAAGCTATTTTATTAATGCTGCAATAGATACAAAGTTGGAATAACACATAGTCCCTGTACTAGGAGTTTAGAATCCAGAAGAGTGGGTAAGGGTAAGAGATACAGAGAGAAACAAAGGCAAAGGAAGAAGAGATTTTCTGTTCATCATTATAACCTCAGGGCCTGGCAGGTATCAGGGGCCTGGTGAATGGATGGGATGAACACAAAAACATTCCTGGAAGAGGTGGTATTCTAGATGTTCTTTGAAAGGGATATAGTATTCTAATAAGCAAGAGGATGGCATACAGTGTTCAAAGTTATTTATGCTTCTAACTTATATCTAATACTTGAATTCATAAAGTACTGAGGTTTTCTTAAAACAAATAGAGGCCTACAGATCATGTTCTAGGAGAAAGTGTATTGCTCTGAATTATATAATTTTCATATTATCTTTTCAATTGATGTGATATAGAAAACCACATCCAACACTTAAATAAAACCTCACCATTCCATGTAAGAAAATCCGCCAAACAGAAAACTTTCCCTTGACAAATGGAGTAAACAAGAAGGGAAAGTATTAGGTTGGTGCAAAAGTAATTGCGGCTTTTGCCAAAAACTGCAATTACCTTGGTGCAAAAGTAATTGCAGTTCAAAAACCGCAATAACTTTTGCACGAACCTAATATCTAAATCAAGGTAGACTTCAGGTCTAAATCTGGAAAGACTTATCTTTTCCAGATTTAGAGCTGAAATATTAATGTACAATACTGAAGAATCATTTCCAAATTCAACTCACCTAGTATTAGATTTGTGGCAGGAACTCGCACTTGATTAAAATGGATCTCAAAATGTCCTCCATGAAAATTATCTATAAAATAGAAAATAAAATTTAGAGCAAAAGGAGTTGACTAAAAAAGAGTCACATATTCTTAATCTGCTGAAATATAATTACTTGAAGAAAATAGGATTTCAAAGATCCATATGGCATGAACATTCTGAGGTAAGCCTCAGCCCTGAACCCCAGGACCCAGCAGCCCAGAAAACTCATCAACTGTTCAAGAAGAGAAACCCTTTGATCCAGATGTTTTCTAATTCATTCTCTGAAGTACAATTTCAGAGAGCTAGGAAAAAGGAAGACCAGGCTCCATAGATCCAGCCAGAGTATTTTATTTGTTTTATTATTGCTGCTTCTTTGAAATATTTTACATATGGGGTTCCAAACAATTTGCATGGAAAAAAGTTTCAATGTTTCAAAAATTAAAAATGAGTAATGTAATCCATGTTTCTTATTTTATCATTGTGGAAACCAACGCCTAAAGATGACAGGGGCCTGCTTGAGGGGAAAGAGCAGGCTTGGCATTAGTGATGATACAGAAACTAGACCTTCAGGTAGGTTTACTCCCAGTCTAGACTTGTTCCACTGTGTGTTCGTCTCTTGAAAATACTGGCATTTGAAACACTGAGGCCAGGAACACGTTCACATTTTATCTTTGCATCACCCCTTCTCCCTGCCAAGTTTTAGAGATAATCTCATGCTAACTCTACACCCTTTTCCTGTCAGAGGAGACAATAATCAGCCTTCTCCACACTGTTTCTTTTGGCCCTGGACACAGGGAGTTGGAGAGGTGCTAGTAAAGTTTTCATACTGAATAATCAAATGTAGCCTCTGCAATGGAAATTATTTGCAGCTCAACTATATTATAAACGCATTTTTGGTATCTTTGCGGCCGTTTCGCTGCAACCCAACAATTTCCTACATGCAATTTTCTCCAGCAAGCTTGCTCATCCCATCTTGCCACCTATGCTTACCCTGTGGGTATACTCTACAGCTGCATCTTAACTGATAAGTGATTCTATAAAACTGCAAGTCTTATATCTGCCACTTGAACATATTCATTAGTCATATTCAATGATAAAAAGAAAGCCAGGGGCTGGGCCCGGTGGCTCATACCTATAATCCCAGCACTTTGGGAGGCCGAGGAGGGTGGATTACCTGAGGTCAGGAGTTCGAGACCAGCCTGGCCAACATGGTGAAAGCCCGTCTCTACTAAAAATACAAAAATTAGCTGGGCATGGTGGCTAAGCAAATACTTGCTGAGAGGGTGATCTTAGCAAATATTTATTGTACACAATGAACACGTGCCACAGTAGGTGGCAGGAAACAAATGGATCTTTGCTTCTTAGAAGTCCCACCCAAGGGCAGAGGAAGGAAAATTTTGCACTCAAATAAGTCAAAAACTCATTGCTTTTTAACAGTTCTTGTAAGTTGATTGATTAAGAGGGCTAAAATTGGAGATAAAAATAATTTTATTGTGGATTATCTGTGCATTAATCCATTTTTATGAATGACAGAGAAAAGACTGGTAGTGTTGCTCTTCCTTAAATACAATCTGCCCTTTCCCAAAAAGGCAGAATTTATATTCTATAAATTCTATAATTTATATAATTATAAATTACATAAATGCTATACTATTTCTTTTTATTGGCTCTACTCTGAACTCCACCAGCATTTATATTAAGACAGTTGTCACAGACAAAGGAATATCTAAGAATCTATCTTATGCATTAAAATGCTATTGCCTTCAATGTTACTGCATATTCTAGCCTTCCTGCTTGCTAATGCATGGTCATATTTATTGGATACCTACCTGTGTAGCCAAAAACTGACAAAGGCCTTATTATTTTTACTCCAGGTGTGTTCATGGGAACAAGAATCATGCTGTGCTGTTTGTGTCTAGTCAAAAGAAAAATTGTATTAGAAAAAGTTTGCTAAGAAGAAAAATAAAACAGATAATAAGCAGAATCACAATTGTCTTTTTGATGTTTTCATGTAGTCATGTAAGCAGTGATGACTGGAATGGGAACTGTGTAAAAGACGTACACCAACATAGTCTGATGCAGGCTGTGATCTGGAACAGAAACAATGATTTGAAAATAAATGAGTTGTTTGATTGAAGCTTCTCACTGCTCAACAATGGTAACTGGGAACTTATATATATAATTAAACATTTCAAGATTATTGCCTTTGATCTAAACATCTAATCACTTCATTACACAGGTCTGAAAAAATTTGTCTGATAATTTAATCCAAACAGCTTTGATAATTTAGCAACACTTTCTAATACTGAAAATTCCACAGCGAAGAATGTTCAGCAATACTCCCTATAATGTTTTCCAAAAACACCTGTTAGAAAATACTTGTGAAATACAAATATATGACATTTACTCTCATATCTTACATTATGATTTGTGAGTCCAAACAGTGAATTTTAAGTAAATTACCTAGATAGGAGGAAGACTGGCTCATTCCTACACAGGTTTCTCAATCAGAATTGTTTAATTACCTGGAGAGAGAAGTATTTTGAGTTCTTCCCAAAACAATTGCAATTTTGCACTTGGGATTCCCAGCTCCTAAAACCAAGGGGAACACAAGCAGATTATAAAAGGAAATTTCTAGTTTGACATTTCACCTTGAAGGTTCTAATCCTTCCCACTTTACCTATGTCAGAAAACAAATAGAGAGAACATTCCTGATTCATTAAGATAATAATTCTTTTGTAACACTCTATATCATCCAAGAAAAATGATTAGGCAAGGCCAAGAATGGACCCCATCAATGAAAGCTGCTACACAAAAATAACCAGAAGTCAAAGCAGCATGAAAGAACTGCCACCTCTCCCATTTACACCATTTCAGACATCAGCATGCTAGAAAAGCTGAGAAATTTTATATGTCTAATATAATATTTTATATGTCAACGTATATGAGGCTGTGATCCCACTTTCAATAAGCCTGGTTCTTTTATTAATTTCTTAAGGGTCAAATTTTAAAAATATTTTTTCATTTTAATGCAAAATTTTATTTTATCACAGTTCAGGGGTCTGTGGCAATTGCCTACAAGGGTCTTTTTGCAAAAATTACTTTTAATGTTTACTAGTAAGTCTAGTCCCTTGGGAAAACTACCATTTGACTAGATTTTCAATTACAAGGCTGCACACAACTGGATCAGATTAAGTTAAACACATCTGTACAAAGTCTCAAACAAATGATCGGATTCTTTTTTCTGATTTATTATAAAAAGAGGTTTGAGGAGATTTGAAATCATATAAAGATTTAATGAGAAATGTTAGGAATGATGTCAAATAGTTGAATAATATTATAAAATTCCAGGAGTTAAAAGGATAAACTCCATGGAACATATTAAAGGACATTGCAGGAATGTAATCAGTAAAGTTCAGACTGTGGGAAATCTATAAGACAACTAATCCAGTTTCTTCAACAATTAAATTGCAATAAAAAGAAAAAAGAGAGATAGAGAAGTAGCTTGTAAGATCAAAAGAGAGAGACCTAAAAGGCGTATCAACCAACAGCAATTTTTAGACCTTACTTAGATCCTAATTCAATCAAACAAAATAAAAAGTATTAATGGTAATTATTAAGCAATTAGAAATGTGAATAGTTATTGGAAATGTCATGATATTAAGTAATTTTAGGTGTGCTAATGGTATTGTGGTTACATTTTTTAAAGAGCCCTTACAGAGACACATACTAAAATATTTGGGAAAGAAATGACATGATGTCTGAGATTTATTTCAAAATATTATGGGAAGAAGATGGGCAGAAGTTAATAACAGATGAAACCTCAACCAGCTACCCTTTCTTTTCTCTTAAGTGTGAATAGAAAACCAAGAATCTGTAGTATGTAAAAAGAACCTGCAATATTAAAGAGAATGACTGGCCAAAAATGTAAGAGACACTTAGAGCCAAAACATGAAGTCTAACATCAGAGTAAAAGGAGTCAAATAAAGAGAAAACAGAGAAAAACAGAGGGAATAATTTATTGAAGAAATGAGCAGAAGAACATTTTCTAGAACTGAAGAAAAACATCTTCAGATTGAAAAAGCCATTGACTAGCAAGAAGAATCTATTAGATAAATGCTTGTGACATTTCAAAACATCAACAAAGAAGAGGAAATCTTAAAAGGTTTCAGAGAGAATAAAACAAGCCAACTAAAAGGACCGAGGATTAGTCTGGCATCAGACTTCTCAACAACCACCAGGGATGCTAGATGAAAATGAATAGTTCAACTTAGAATTTTATACTTGTCCAAACTATCAATTTATGTAATGGAAGAATAAATACATATTCAGATATGTAAGATCTCAGAGAATTTAACTATTATGTACTTTTTCTCAAAAAATTAAGAATATACTCGAGCAAAATAAGGGAGTAAGTCAAGAGAAAGGAAGTCTTAGAATCCAAAAGATAATGGATCCCAGGAAAGTATTATCTGAAAATCCCAGAATAATTGCATCAAAGTATGCCTAAAGGGTAATCAGTCCAGATTGGAAAATAAATACTAAAGTCTTCAAGAGAGAAGTCTCCAGGAAAGAAAGTCAATAGAAGTAAAGGTGCAATCTAGAGATGTGTGTATATGTAAGGGGAAGGAGATATTATAAAAGCAAATAATGCAAATAAAGAGACATGGCAATTAGAAACTCCAGGAAAATAATGTTGAAATGCACAAGTGAACTGTGGTCCAAATATAAAATAATGTGACATGAATTTAATATATAGTATATGAGAAAAGCATTCTAATTGACCTTGATTCTAGAAACAGTCCTCAGAATGGCCCAGGTGATTTTATATTGCATCAGTTACAGAAGGACACAAAATCTAACACACTACTTAGGCCAGCATCAAACAATATTTACATGGTCCTCTAAGATAAGTGCTATGTATTGGTTTTCAAAGTTTACAGTTATCCTGTAGTCAACTACAGTTGTGGCTGCAAGACAGAATATAAATATTAGTAATCCTGAAAATGTGAAAGTATAAGCTGTAGCTGATACAAGTTACAATAAGAAAGGGAGGGATAAAGAGTGTAGAAAGGGTTAAGAGTATACATATTCTTATATTAAAGTAGAGCTTGAATAGAATCTGTGAAATGAGGATGCAGAGAACTTTAACAATTATTTGAGGTTTAAAAAATAAAAAAACAACAAAAAACAATGTAATAAGATAAATACGTTAAGAAAGAGCAGAGAGAGTTATGAGACAAATGAGTGAAATTGTCATTATTCAAATTGGAGAGCCAATGGATACTGTCTAAAATGAATAAATTAAGAAAGAGAAAAAATATTTTATCTACAATTATAATGGAAACCAGAGAACTACAAACAGAAACTGTTAAAAAAAAAAAAGAGTTTTCTGTAGGGCATGATGTTTGGATGTGGAGACATGGGAAACAATGCTCTCAGATATTTTTTCCTTTGTTACTACTTCTAACTGGGTAATAATGACTTTAAAAACATTAAAGAAAAAAACCCATCTTGTAAACAAATCTGTGGATTCCCAAGTAGGAGACTGAGAGGCTTGTTGAGTGAACTACAATGTTTTATTTTTCTTTCTGAATTTGCTTTTAATCTGAATATCTAATCTGAGGGCTGTGGAGGAGTCATTTCCCCACTTCTATGTAATACATAACTCCAGAAATCCTACATGCACACTCTCTGACAAAATGCTAAAACTGATTTAAAAAAAAAACACCTAAAATAGATATTATCTGAGAAAGGGAGGGAAGGAGAGGAAGGCAGTGTGCCTAAAATGGGTGACTCTGTTCACCTCCAGGCTGGTGGTAGAATAAGGAGACACCTTAAACCGACTTAGAACTTGAATTGTAAGCCTGCTTTCTCCATAGTCACAGCCTCAGAGTTGTAAGAACATGCAATCATATATGCATATAAATGATTTTATATACGACTAAAAAGGAAGAGAGAGGACTCTTAACTAACTGGGACAGAAAATTTTTTAACAACATGCATTACATCGATGTTCATCAGGGATATTGGTCTAAAATTCTGTTTTTTTGTTGTGTCTCTGCCAGGCTTTGGTATCAGGATGATGCTGGCCTCATAAAATGAGTTAGGGAGGATTCCCTCTTTTTCTATTGATTGGAATAGTTTCAGGAGGAATGGTACCAGCTCCTCCTTGTACCTCTGGTAGAATTCAGCTGTGAATCCATCTAGTCCTGGACTTTTTTTCACTGGTAAGCTATTAATTATTGCCTCAATTTCAGACCCTGTTATTGGTCTATTCAGAGATTCAACTTCTTCCTCGTTTAGTCTTGGGAGGGTGTATGCGTCGAGGAATTTATCTATTTCTTCTAGATTTTCTAGTTTATTTGCATAGAGGTGTTTATAGTATTCTCTGATGGTAGTTTGTATTTCTGTGGGATCGGTGGTGATATCCCCTTTATCATTTTTTATTGCATCTATTTGATTCTTCTCTCTTTTCTTCTTTATTAGTCTGCTAGAGGTCTATCAATTTTGTTGATCTTTTCAAAAAACCAGCTCCTGGATTCACTGATTTTTTGAAGGGTTTTTTGTGTCTCTATTTCCTTCAGTTCTGCTCTGATCTTAGCTATTTCTTGCCTTCTGCTAGCTTTTGAATGTGTTTGCTCTTGCTTCTCTAGTTCTTTTAATTGTGATGTTAGGGTATCAATTTTAGGTCTTTCCTGCTTTCTCTTGTGGGCATTTAGTGCCATAAATTTCCCTCTACACACTGCTTTGAATGTGTCCCAGAGATTCTGGTATGTTGTGTCTTTGTTCTCGTTGGTTTCAAAGAACATCTTTATTTCTGCCTTCATTTCGTTATGTACCTAGTAGTCATTCAGGAGCAGGTTGTTCAGTTTCCATGTAGTTGAGCAGTTTGGAGTGGTTTTCTTAATCCTGAGTTCTAGCTTGATTGCACTGTGGTCTGAGAGACAGTTTGATATAATTTCTGTTCTTTTACATTTGCTGAATTTGCTGAGAAGTGCTTTACTTCCAACTATGTGGTCAATTTTGGAATAGGTGTGGTGTGGTGCTGAAAAGAATGTATATTCTGTTGATTTGGGGTGGAGAGTTCTGTAGATGTCTACTAGGTCCGCTTGGTGCAGAACTGAGTTCAATTCCTGGATATCCTTGTTAACTTTCTGTCCCGTTGATCTGTCTAACGTTGACAGTGGGGTGTTAAAGTCTCCCATTATTATTGTGTGGGAGTCTAAGTCTCTTTGTAGGTCTCTAAGGTCTTGCTTTATAAATCTGGGTGCTCCTATATCGGGTGCATATATATTTAGGATAGTTAGTTCTTCTTGTTGAATTGATCCCTTCACCATTATGTAATGGCCTTCTTTGTCTCTTTTGATCTTTGTTGGTTTAAAGTCTGTTTTATCAGAGACTAGGATTGCAACCCCTGCCTTTTTTTGTTTTCCACTTGCTTGGTAGACTTTCCTCCAGCCCTTTATTTTGAGCCTATGTGTGTCTCTGCACGTGAGATGGGTTTCCTGAATACAGTACACTGATGGGTCTTGACTCTTTTTCCAATTTGCCAGTCTGTGTCTTTCAATTGGAGCATTTAGCCCATTTACATTTAAGGTTAATATTTTTATGTGTGAATTTGATCCTGTCATTATGATGTTAGCTGGTTATTTTGCTCATTGGTTGATGCAGTTTCTTCCTAGCCTCGATGGTCTTTACAGTTTGGCATGTTTTTGCAGTGGCTGGTACCACTTTTTCCTTTCAGAGCCAAATCATGAGTGAACTCCCATTCACAATTCCTTCAAAGAGAATAAAATACTTAGGAATCCAACTTACAAGGGACGTGAAGGACCTATTCAAGGAGAACTACAAACCACTGCTCAATGAAATAAAAGAGGATACAAACAAATGGAAGAACATTCTATGCTCATGGGTAGGAAGAATCAATATTATGAAAATGGCCATACTGCCCAAGGTAATTTATAGATTGAATGCCATCCCCATCAAGCTACCAATGACTTTCTTCACAGAATTGGAAAAAACTACTTTAAAGTTCATATGGAACCAAAACAGAGCCTGCATTGCCAAGTCAATCCTAAGCCAAAAGAACAAAGCTGTAGGCATCACGCTACCTGACTTCAAACTATACTACAAGGCTACAGTAACCAAACAGCATGGTACTGGTACCAAAACAGAGATATAGACCAATGGAACAGAACAGAGCCCTCAGAAATAATGCCGCATATGTACAACTATCTGATCTTTGACAAACCTGACAAAAACAAGAAATGGGGAAAGGATTCCCTATTTAATAAATGGTGCTGGGAAAACTGGGTAGCCATATGTAGAAAGCTGAAACTTGATCCCTTCCTTACACCTTATACAAAAATTAATTCAAGATGGATTAAAGACTTACGTGTTAGACCTAAAACCATAAAAACCCTAGAAGAAAACCTAGGCAATACCATTCAGGACATAGGTATGGGCAAGGACTTCATGTCTAAAACACCAAAAGCAATGTCAACAAAAGACAAAATTGACTTCAATTAATTAAACTAAAAAGCTTCTGCACAGCAAAAGAAACTACCATCAGAGTGAACAGGCAACCTACAGAATGGGAGAAAATTTTTGCCATCTACTCATCTGACAAAGGGCTAATATCCAGAATCTACAATGAACTCAAACAAATTTACAAGAAAAAAACAAACAACCCCATCAAAAAGTGGGCAAAGGATATGAATAGACACTTCTCAAAAGAAGACATTTATGCAGCCAAAAGACACATGAAAAAATGCTCATCATCACTGGCTATCAGAGAAATGCAAATCGAAACCACAATGAGATACCATCTCACACCAGTTAGAATGGCAATCATTAAAAAGTCAGGAAACAACAGGTGCTGGAGAGGATGTGGAGAAACAGGAACACTTTTACACTGTTGGTGGGACTGTAAACTAGTTCAACCATTGTGGAAGTCAGTGTGGTGATTCCTCAGGGATCTAGAACTAGAAATACCATTTGACCCAGCCATCCCATTACTGGGTATATACCCAAAGGATTATAAATCATGCTGCTATAAAGACACATGCACACGTATGTTTATTGTGGCACTATTCACAATAGCAAAGACTTGGAACCAACCCAAATGTCCAATAATGATAGACTGGATTAAGAAAATGTGGCACATATACACCATGGAATAGTACACAGCCATAAAAAATGATGAGTTCATGTCCTTTGTAGGGACATGGATGAAGCTGGAAACCATCATTTTCAGCAAACTATCGCAAGGACAAAAAAGCAAACACCGCATGTTCTCACTCATAGGTGGGAATTGAACAATGAGAACACATGGACACAGGAAGGGGAACATCACACACCAGAGCCTGTTGTGGGGTGGGGGGAGGCAGGAGAGATAGCATTAGGAGATATACCTAATGTTAAATGACGAGTTAATGGGTGCAGCACACCAACATGGCACATGTATACATATGTAACAAACCTAGACGTTGTGCACATGTACCCTAAAACTTAAAGTGTAATAAAAAAAAAACCACATGCATTAAATTGACCAAGAGATGTCCCACTGCAATCAGATACCAAATATGTTGGGCAAAATTATCTGTCCCATTTTTCCCCCAAATACATGACTTATTGTCTATATTACATCTGAGAGAGAAAAACCATTTTCTCTACCCTTCTGGGCATTTGCTCCATCATCTTATTAGATAAAATAAGAAACTATTATACTGAAAATAAATTTTCACTAAAAGAAAAATACAAGCATTTTCATAAATACAAGTTAAAAAATGTAATGTTTTTCAAGTAGAACATTTTATCATGCATCAAAAAGTCTATAATAGGCTGGGCACAGTGGCTCACGCCTGTAATCCCAACACTTTGGGAAGCTGAGGTGGGCGGATCACCTGAGGCCAGGAGTTCGAGACCAGCCTGGCCAACATGGCGAAACCCCGTCTCTACTAAAAATACAAAAAATTAGCCAGGCATGGTGGTGGGCGCCTGTAATCCCAGCTACTTGGCAGGCTGAGGCAGGAGAATTGCCTGAACCCGGGAGGCAGAGGCTGCAGTGAGTGAGCTGAGATTGCGCCATTGCACTCCAGCCTGGGCAACAAGAGCAAAACTCTGTCTCAAAAAAGAACAAAAAAACAAAACTCTGGTACGTGCACTGACATTAGACAACAAAGACCCTTAATTCAGGTTAAACACATTTATTTTATATCAATCAAAAATAATTAGCAGTTTTAGAATTTTTAGTTTATTCTTTTTTCAAATGCAAATCTCTCCCTCTTGCCTCTTCTGGAACTCTAATCACACATATTTTAGAGTCCCTAGGATTGTTCATTTCTTTACATCTTTTCTTCATATTGGGTAATTTCTGTTGTCTATCTTCAAGTTCGTTCATTCTTTCCTCTGTTATCTCCATTATGTTATTAAGCCCAGTCAGTGAATTTCTTTTCAGATATTTTACCTTTAAGTTCTGATATTCCTACCTGGTTATTTTTTATGTTTTCTATTTCTCTTCTGATATTTCTTAATGTTTTATTTTTCTTGACCTCAATGAGCACATTTATAATAGCTGCCTTAAGTCCTTGTCTGATGATTCCAACATTTGAATCATTTGGGTGTTGGCCTTCCCCCTTGAAAATGGGTCATGTTTTCCTTATTCTTCATTGGTTGAGCAATTTTAGATTGTATTCCGGACATTGTGATTTTTTTGTTTTGAAACTCTGGATTCTGTCATATTCCTCCACAGAATGTTGATGGTTTTGTTTTGACAGGCAATTAACTTAGGTAGAGTAAAACTGCAGAGTCTATCACAATTCAGGTGGATGGGAAATCAAATTTCAGCGTAGTTCTTATTATTTAGCTGCAAGGTGCTTTGAGTTTGCCCTGCGCATTACTTTCATTCAGGAGTTAGCCAGAGACCCAAGCAAAGTTTCCACATGAAAGCTGGAGCTCCCCTTTTCTGGCTTTTTCCTTTCCAGGAATACCCACCTCATTTCCCAGCAGTGATGGTTGCCCTAGACACTCTCCTCTGGTTCCTCAGGACACAGAGATCTGAGTTTTCTAAAGAAGCTTTAGCTTTCCTGTTCCACACTGTTTCCTCAGGCTAAAGTCTAAAAATGAAAAACTCACCCTGTGCCCATCTCACTTTCCAAATTTTGACTCCCCTACAAAATCAGCTTGCCTTTGTTCACTTCCCTGAGAATTTCAGGCAGGCAGGTATGTATGTATGTATGTATGTATGTATGTATGCATGTAGGTATTTTGTAGCTTTTTAGCTGTTATCTGTGGGAAGGTTCATCTTAAGCACTTACTCCACCAGACTAGCGTAGAACTCCCCCAGAGTTCTTACCTTTAAACTTTGCCAAAAATCAGGTCTTCACTTACCCAGTGTTATAATTTCTTATACATTCATTAATATTTGAATACAAATATACATTTTTATTCATGACAAATATATGAGTTTTATTTATCAGCTGAAGTTTGAGAAATGCAATGCTCACTTCAAAATGATCACATAAGCAGAACTAGAAATCTTAGCTCTAAAATTTCAAAACCAATAAAACCAAGAGCTTAAAATTCTAATCTCCTCCATTATTCCATACTATAAATAACATACGTAAAATATAGTTAAGATTGAAATGCAACGGCTTTAAAACTGTTGCTTATAATTTAGATTCCTTCAAATTTAATGGAATCTTGTTTTAATCAGTTCAGAAAGGACCATCCTCATTTGTACTAATGAGAAAAGATCCCCCATTCACATATTTCAAAGTTAAGTTTTAAAAATCTTAAATGTCATATTCTTCACAGTAACTCTATTTGGCTTTCCTAATTTATCCAAACGTCTAAATTTTCAAATTGTTTATCATTGTTTATATTTACAGAAATATGTCCTTTTGATTTTATAGATGCTAACAGGTAAAGAAACTGCTATGGTCTGAATGTATATGTCACCCCCTAGAAGTCATGTTTTGGAATCCTAACCCCCAAGCTGATTTTATGTGGAGATGAAGCCTTTGGTCCGAAAGGCGGTGATTAAGTGATTAAAATGCAATTAGTGTATTTATCAAAGAGGCCTGAGAGAGCTTGGTCACCTTTTTCACTATATGAGGACAGAACAAGAAGGTGCCATCTATGAACCAGAATGCAGGCCCTCACCAGGCACCAACTCTATTGGTGCCTTGTTCTTAGACTTTTCAGCCTCTAGAACCATGAGAAATACATTTTTGTTGTTTAGAAGTTACCTAATTAATGGTGTTGTGTAATAGTGGCCTGAATGGACTATGACAAAATTCCACTAATCTGAGGACCAACCCAAAGAACATTAGGATGATTTAATGGCAGATGACAATACTTACCTTTCATTGTGGATCTTACCTAAATGACTTATCTGGAAATGCTCAGTTGGGGTAATCTTTTATCCCTGGCTATGCAATAATATGCAATCATGCTTTGATTCTTAGTTAGAAATTATAGAGGAAGAATCATTTACAGAGCGTTCACTTCTAATTTTTCAACTGGATATTTTTCTACTTGGGACTATCTTTGAGGTTTTAGTTGTAGGAAGCCTTGGCCAGTGCCTCTCTAGATGCCTACAGGCTGAAGGATCAACGCTACTTGCCCCACATAATGCATTGTGTGGGCATACTCCATGGTGGGCATACTTCTGAAAATCAGATTAGGACATAACAACATGATTTGAGGTTCATTTTCATTAGAAATATTTTCTTTAAAAAAAGCAAACTTTTATTTTAGGTTTGGGGGGTAAATGTGAAGGTTTGTTACATAGGTGAACTTGTGTCATTAGGGTTTGTTGCACAGATTATTTCACCACCCAGGTATTAAGCCCAGTACCCAATTGTTATCTTTTCTGCTCCTTTCCCTCCTCCCACCCTCCACCCTCAAGCAGACCTCTGTGTCTGTTGTTTCCTTGTTTGCGTTCGTAAGTTCTCATCATTTAGTTCCCACTTATAAGTGAGAACATGCGGTATTTGTTCTTGTGCTAATTTGCTAAGGATAATAGCCTCCAGCTCCATCCATGTTCCTGCAAAAGACATGATCTCATTCTTTTTAATGACTGCATAGTATTCCATGGTGTATATGTACCACATATTCTTTATCCAATCTGTCATTGATGGGCATTTAGGTTGATTCCATTGTGAGTAGTGCTGCAATGAACATTCACATGCATATGTCTTTATGGTAGAATAATTTCTGTTCCTTTGGGTATATACCCAGTAATGGGATTGCTGGGTTGAATGGTAGTTCTGGGTTTTTTGTTTTTGTTTTTGGATTTTTTTGAGACAGTCTCACTCTGTTGCCAAGGCTGGAGTAGAGTGGCGCGATCTCAGCTCACTGCAATCTCCCTGCTCCCAGGTTCAAGTGATTCTCGTGCCTTGGCCTCCTGAGTAGCTGGGATTACAGGCATGGCCACCATGCTTGGCTAATTTTTGTATTTTGGGGTTTTGCCATGTTGGCCAGGCTGGTCTCAAACTCCTCGCCTCAAGTGATCCTCCCGCCTTAGCCCCCCAAAGTGCTGGGATTACAGGCATGATCCACCGTGCCCGGCCAGTAGTTCTGTATTTAGCTCTCTGGGGAATCTCCATACTGCTTTCCACAATGGTTGAACTAATTCACACTCCCACCAACAGTGTATTAAGTGTTCCTTTTTTTCTACAACCTCACCCGCATCTGTTATTTTTTGACTTTTTAATAATAGCCATCCTGACTGGCGTGAGATGGTATCTCATTGTGATTTTGATTTGCATTTCTCTAATGATCAGTGATATTGAGGTTTCTTTCATATTTTGTTGGCTGCATATATATCTTCCTTTGAAAAGTTTCTGTTCATGTCATTCGCCCACTTTTTAATGAGATTGTTTTTCTCTTGTAAATTTGTTCAAGTTCCTTATAGATGCTGGATATTGGACCTTTGTCAGATACATAGTTTGCAAATATTTTCTTCCATTCTGTAGGTTGTCTGCTCACTCTGCTGATAGTTTCTTTTGCTATGCAGAAGCTCTTAAGTTTAATTAGATCTCACTTGTCAATTTTTGCTTTTGCTGTGATTGCCTTTGGTGTCTTTGTCATGTACCCTTTGCCCACCCCTATGTCTAGGACAGTATTGCCTAGGTCATCTTCCAGGGTTTTTATAGTTTTGGGTTTTACATTTAAGTCTCTAATTCATTTTGAATTAACTTTTGTATATGGTGTAAGGTACGGGTCCAGCTTCAATCTTCTGCATATGGCTAGCCAGTTATCCCAGCACTATCTATAGAATAGGGAGTCTTTTCCCCACTGCTTGTTTTTGTCAGCCTTGTCAAAGATCAGATGGTCATAGGTGAGCAGCCTTATTTCTGGGCTCTATTCTGTTCCATTGGTCTATGTGCCCATTTTCAGAGATATTTTTCTTTCTCTACTTTCCATTCTGGCAATCAAGAACATCTGGGTAAATCTTTCAAGGTTTCACTGATGCTAGCTATCCAGCATCAGTGAGCTGAAGTAAAATCTTCTAATTCCTTTGAACCCTGGTCTAAAGCCCTCTTTTTCGAATATTCAGAATATATAATTTTGTATCTAATATTTCCCAATATTACTTCTTACCTCATTCTTTCTATCATTTAAAAATGTTGGCCGGGCATGATGACTCATATCTGTAATCCCAGAATTTTGGGAGGCTGAAGTGGCAGGATCGCTTGAGCTCAAGAGTTTGAAACCAGCCCGGGCAACCTAGCGACACCTCGTCTATACAAAAAAATTTAAAAATTCACCAAGCACGGTGCAGCACATCTGTAGTCCCAGCTACTCGGGATGTTGAGATGGCAGGACTGCTTGAGCCCCGGGAAGTCAAGGTTGCAGTGAGCCGTGATCATGCCACTGCATTCTAGCCTAGGCAATAGAGTGAGATTTTGTCTCCAAACAAAGCAAAGAAACAAAAATGTTGCCACAGCCTTATATAAATGCCCAATAGATTTCCGATACCAGGTAAATTTTGAAGAAACTCAAGAAGTAAGGCAAATAATTCTTTGATTCTGTCTTCCTCAATCTTATATGGAGAACAATTAATATTCTAAAAAATACAATTTTTAAGTTGGATGTCTGTTGTCATCATGAAGTAGAGGAAGTAAGGGTGAATACATAGTTTGTAGAATTTGAAATATTTGTATTTAACAATGATGTTTCAGAAAAATGAGAAAAACCCTTCCCAAAGATATCATCTCCCCTTAGCTACAAGCAGAATTTGGCAAGTGCAGCAGTTGAAACAACCTTCTTTTATAGAGAGTTTTGCTTGTTTGTGTCATTTTAGTTAATGAACAAGATACCCAATGTCATAAATAAAATATATTAGAGGAAATCTGAATAGAACAGAGAACATTTAAACATATATGCTGTGTCACAGGCCTTCATGAATGAAAACAGATGGCTTAGATAAAGTAATTTTGTTTTTAATCCAGACACTGTGGTATTTCAAGGCTGTTCAAGTGCCAGGATTAAGTCAGGCTAAAAATTACATCTCCCTGATGTTAGTTGATGATTTTTAATTTCTTAGGCTTTTACCCACAAAATCATTTTCTAACAAAAGGAGAGATGATAGGTGGATAAAAAAACATGACCTTTGAGTATAGTGTGGTTTGTAACAATTAAGAAAGTGATGTAAACAATTACATACTATGAAGCATAGATAGCCATCCACAAATTCTCAAGGCCGTTTCTTCTACCAACATAGAATTTCTGAGGTAGAACACCTGAACTTCATTTGGTTTTAGCTTTAATACTAACAATTCAAATTGGAGTAAGTACTATTTTACAATAAAATTTCCCTTATATGAAAAAAGATGTTCATTGTACAATCCCACAGTTAAAGAAAAAAAATCCCATGTGTTCTCTTAGAGTGTGTGTTATTTTTAACAGGGAAATCTTCAAAATTCACTGAATCCATCTCTAGGTTTACATCTAAATAATAAGAATTAAGTAATAATGTTACAAGCTGCTGCTATTACTGTTGTTACTATAGAAAATGGTTAGATCAAAATAAATCCCAAATAGAGCAGAGTTGAAAATTAAAAAAAACCAAGACATAAAAAAACTAGAAGAAAAATAATATAATATTTATTAAATCTCTGGGTGAGAAAGGATTTTAAAACTTAAAAATGATAAATGAAATCAAAATCAGACAAAGATCAATTGGTTTGTCTATATAAAACTGCTGTACATTAGAAAATAAAATTTAAAAGCAAAAAAAAATTGGGGGGGAATGTTTCAACATTTATGACAAAATGTATGCAATACTTAGCTCCCTAAATTATAAAGAACACCTAAAAATCAGTATACAGATGGGCAAAGAACACAATTGCAAAAAGAGGAAATAAGAATAATAAAAGAGATTTTTAAAATTGCTTAACTTTACCACTAATCAAATAAACGTGGAGTACAGCAATAATGAAAACATTCAAAAGCAGTTTATTATCCAGTATTCCACACATGCCTGGCAAGGGTAGGTAAGGGGTGCTGAATTTGTTACAAGTCATTTAGAAAGCAAAGTGGTAGTAAAACAACACATTCTATTGACAATATTTTAGAAAAACAGACATTTCTATACATTATTGGTAGAGAACAAAGTAATACCATCCCTATGGAATACAATTTGGCAATATTCATCAAAATTACAGATTCATCCCAGCACTTTTGTTGGCCAGGATGGGTGGATTGTTTGAGTCTAGGAGTTGGAGGCCAGGCTGGGCAACATAGCAAAATGACAGTACAAGAGGAGGGATGAGAAGAGGGTGTGGGGAGAGAGATTCTTCAAGAACAAGGGACATTGCTATGTTAGGGAGGTTAAGAGTAGGAGCCAATTTATGGTAAGCAGCAAAATGGAATCATAGTCAGTTCTAAGGAATATGAGAAGTAGAAGAGAGCTAAAGAAGCATCAAGTAAGTACTTTGAAAAGTTGCCTAAGGTGAGTGATGCTTCTGCCTACCCTCTAAGCTACATGATTATTTCACGTATTTTGTCAAATTTCCCTATTACCACTGTCTCTCCTAGTTCTATCAGGAGAAAAGGGAAAATACAGGAAAAGGCCAGCCAGTCAGCTAGTTTCACCATGATTCATACACTATGATTTATACACAGCATTCATACACACGCTACCAGAGGAAGCTGCTCAATCCTGAGATCCCCTATGCCTCAAGGGCTTTGTATGTGTCTGAATTAGCAAAAACAATGTGTAAATTCAAAAGATGTAAAGATTATAGCATTACAACCGATTTGCAATAAAGGAATCCCATTTACAAAAAAGCTTATGGTTGTTGGGGGTGGGGTAAATAAAGGAAAGGGATAGATACTTTTGAATCTATAAAAGAGTATCAAGATTCTATAATAGATGGCATCATAAAATAAAGAGATATAAGAGATAAGATGATAAAATAGACTAAAGATCTGAATTTAGAACTCCAGCTCCATTGCTAAACTTTATGTCTGTGGAGGATAAGTTACTTAAATATCAGTTGATTGATTCATGAATTTAATCATTATTCATTAAGCTGGTACCATGAGTAAGGTACCAAGCCAAATGCTGAGGATACAGCAGGGTATAAGATAGCTATGGAAGATAGAAAATTTAAATAAGTACCAACAATACAGTGAAAAGACTGGTATATCTGATCTAATCTGAAAGAGTTATGGAAGGCTTCCTGGATTAATGTTAAGGTCAGACCTAAATCTGAATTGTAAATAGGAGTTAGGGAACTAAAATAGGGTGGGAAGAGTGCTCTAGACAGGAATAATAGTACTTGCAAATGCCTAAAAGTCAGTATTGTGTATCATATAGAAAGATCAAAGAGATTATTATCTGATAATTATGGAGGCTGCAGTTGCAGACCAGTTGTTAGATAATAATCAAAATGGACAGTAGAATGTTTTTATTAATTCAAAATATTTTTGAGTAGTCATTATGTGTCAGGTATTATTCTTGGTACTCGGGATATATCAATGAACAAAGCAAACAAAAGTCCCTGTTCTGATGAAGCTTATGTTCTAATACAGGGTGAAAGACAAATTACAGCAATCACAGCATAAATGATATGGTGCATTAGAACATGTTAAGTGCTATGGGTCTGGTGGACTGGGAGTCCAGATGGATGAGGGTTATTTTAAGTAGAGTAGTGAAGAATTGCCTCAGTGAGCTGGTGGTGATTGGGCAAAGACTTGAAAGAGAAGAGGAAGTGAGCTTTGCAATTACTAAGACAGAGCACATTCCAGCAGACAGAAGAGCCAGCACAAAAGCCCTGATAGGATTGTGACTGGTATGCTCTCAAACAGCAAGAAGCTGGGTATGGCAGAACAAGTAGGCAAAGGGGTGAGTAGTGTGAAATGAGGTCAGAGAGACAATGAGGGATGGAGGCAGACCTTGTGGGATCTTGTAGACTACTATGAGAGTTCATGATGAAGCAATTGCAATAGAAGCAAAAATTGACAAATGGGACCTAATTAAACTGAAGAGCTTCTGCACAGCAAAAGAAACTATCAACAGAGTAAAGAGACAACTTACAGAATGGGAGAAAATCTTTGCAAACTATGCATCTGACAAAGGTCTAATATCCAGCATCTATAAGAAATTTAAATTTACAATTAAAAACAACCCTATTAAAAAGTGGGCAAAGGATGTGAACAGACAGTTCTCAAAAGAAGACATACATACCGCCAACAATCATATGAAAAAAAGCTAAACATCACTGATCATTAGAGAAATGCAAATCAAAATCACAATGAGATACCATCTCACACCAGTCAAAATGGCTATTATTAAAAACTCAAAAAATTACAGCTGCTGGTGAGGTTGTGAAGAAAAAGGAGCACTTACAAACTGTTGGTGGGAGTGTAGAAAACAGTGTGGCAATTCCTCAAAGACCTAAAGACAGAAATATCATTCGAGCCAACAATTCCATTACTGGGTATATACCCAAAGGAATATAAATTATTCTATTATAAAGACACATGCATGCATATGTCCATTGCAGCACTATGCACAATAGCAAAGACATGGAATCAACCTAAATATTTGCCCATCAATGATAGACTGGACAAAGAAAATGTGGTACATATACAGCATGGAATACTATGTAGCCATAAAAAAGAATGAGATCATGTTCTTTGCAGGCACGTGGATGGAGCTGGAGACCATTATCCTTAGCAAACTAACAAAGGGACAGAAAGCTAAATACTGCATGTTCTCACTTATAAGTGGGAGCTAAGATGAGAACACATGGACACATGGAGGGAAACACACTGGGGCCTATCAAAGGGTAGAGGGTGGTAGAGAAAGAGGATCAGGAAAAATAACTAATGGGTACTAGGCTCAATACCTGGGTGATAAAATAATCTGCACAACAAACCCCCATGATACATGTTTACCTGTGTAACAAACTTGCATGTGTACCCCTGAACTTAAAAGTTTTTTTTTAAAAAAGAGAAAAATAGAAAAAATGGCATGGGTCTGAAATAATTTCTGCAGGTGGAGACTGAGCCTGGCCTTGCATGAAAAAATAGATAACTGCCATGCAAATTTGAGGAAAGCCAAGTTCAAATAGACCATGAGGGCCAAATCAGCATAAATTTCTCTTCTTTCTCTAACTTACTTGTGTGGAAATGTGGAAAAAATAAACAGCCTCCCAGACTGAAGGATTTTGAAGGTTCATATTCTAGCTTTGGGAAAAAAGGTAACAAGAAAGCAAGAGAGTTTAAAGCCATGGGAAAATACTCTGGGACAAGGATAGAGAAAGTACAGTGAAGCCAGGAAGACTCTAGTAGTTTAAATAAATATTAAATGATGTGGCATAAAAATGTTAAATTCTATTGCAAATACCTAATGATTACTTATAATTTAATCTTTGATAATTTAGTCTTCAAAAAGATATTTTCCTTGGTTAAAATCATATTTGCTTTCTTCCTTAGGCAAAATAACTTTAGAGAGTATTTCTCTAGATGCTACCTACAAGTGCTGCCTAGATGCCCTCAGGTGGATTCTCCTTCTGGTTCAGCAGTCAGTAGCTCAGCTGCAGGCACTTTCTTGTCCCCTTTGACTAAGTGGAAACTATGAAAGGTCTATAGTTTTTGAAAAAAGATGGATTTTCTCAAATTTGTAACCTAAACCACTTAAGAAGTTGAATTTAACTTCACAGATGGTTTTACAGGAAATAAAATATCAAGTGCTCACAAGGTTAAATTTCAGGAAAGCCTTCTTGGATACAAGATAAAGGCGGGGTGTAAAGTGAAAACAAAAGTAGCTGGAGTTAGGTCATTTGATTTTATACTCTGTACTCAAGACTGCTCCTCTCTGCCGACTACAACAGGTTGGTACTTTATTTCTTTTCTTATTCTGACTTGAATATTTTTTTAAGCCCAAAGATCTTGTATATTTACTTATATAGATGGAGTCTTGATGCATAAAAGTTTAAATGCTTACTTGTAAAAAAAAAAAAAAGGGTTACTTGAAAATAGCTGTACAGTTTAACCTTAAATGAAAATCTTAATATAGCAAGAAGAAAATACGATTTTAAATGCCATTACTTGTCGGTAAAACTTTGTTAAGGAGAAAATAGGTTTTATTATACCACTTTTTTTCACTTTCTTTTACAAGTACTGATTTTTTTTTTATTCTCATGGTAATTATAAAGACACTTAAAAGCGTGTCTATATATCTGCCGGAAGGATCATTTCTGCAAATAATTCCATTTCTACTCTTTTTTACTCACATTTTTAGTAAGATTAATTCTTACTTAAAAATTCCCTTCCTTAATATATTATAATATTTGGCCATATTATTTCTTATCATCAGGTTCAAGATTTTCTGATGAAAGAGAAAGGAAGAACAAGGTTCATACTGTGTTAATAATTAATGCATAAGAACATGAAGACCAGAGTAGTCTTCCAGATTGGAACTTTTTAAGTAACTTTAATGATAAAAAGAGTCATTTAAAAAAGTTGGCACCCGGTTTTTACATAATGAAAGCAATTCTTCTATGTGGTGTCTTTCTTCAGAGCCTTCTTTTCTTTGCTATATTCATTCAAAAAAAGTTAGCAAACATAAGAACATTTCTTTTGAAAATGTACTATAAGTTGGCACACTGTTTTAAAAATAATATTTTCATTATTGATTCTATAAGAATATTTGAGATACTTCAGAGGACAAAAAGAACCCAAGGAAAATAGAAAGGATAAGAAAAAGGAAAACAAAATTCAGCACTATAATAAAAACACTGAAAGTCATTATTTTATACATTCCAAAACTTACGAATTCTGTGCAAGCTTATCTTAATACTACGGGGTGCTAGTAGCCAACATAGTGCAATAACAATGTTGACATAGAAGATTTCTGGCATACTATCTATCCATTCTAGAGTAACAGCTTTATACCTGTTGGCAAAAGCTTTAATTTGACAAATATTTACTGAGAAGCTACTTTGTGCCAGGCACATTAACAAGATTTTATTTACAAACACAAATCAAATAGGTCATGCTTTGAGGAACTTAAAACCTAGAGGAACAAGGTAGTATGGGAAACGCATCCTTTCCACAGAATGGATCAGTTCTCTGAGGGGTATGTAGAGATTGCTAATACATCAGGAAAGTCTTCTGGGGAGGTCGCATCCGCGTTTATTGAGTAGGAATTGGCCCTTCCAGGGAAGGGCAGGAAATTGTATGGTAGATAAAGGAACAGAATGAGCAATGATGTAGACAGATGCTGCTGCATGGTGGGTGCCAGCCCACTGCTGAGAAATTAGTCCTATCACTGTCTCTAGTGTGGACACAGAGTAGGGAGAGGTGGCAGGAGCCATGGATGGCACCACATTATGAAGGGAGCCTTGGGTGTTATGCTAAGGAGCTTGGATTGTGGCTTTCAGGTGAAGAGATGTGTCTTCCAGATGAGGAACAAAACAGAGGAGAGGTAGATTGGCAATTTAGAGATCAAATACTCTGGTGGAAGTAAGAAAAACGTTTTTGAAAAGGAGGTATTGAGGAGGAGTAACAACAGGCTATCAGTTAGAAAGATACTGCTTGGCCAGGTGCAGTGGCTCATGCCTGTTACTCCAACTCTTTGCGAGGCCAAGGCAGGTAGATTGCTTGAGCCCAGGAGTTTGAGACCAGCCTTGGCAACCTGGCAAAACCCCGTCTCTATCAAAAATACAAAAAGTTATACAGACTCATAACCTGGTCAATAAATAAATAAATAAATGGATTAAAATTTAAAAATAGGCTGGGCTCGGTGGCTCACGCCTGTAATCCCAGCACTTTGGGAGGCCGAGGCAGGTGGATCACGAGGTCAGGAGTGCGAGAACAGTCTGGCCAACATAGTGAAACCCCATCTCTACTAAAAATAGAAAAAATTAGCCAGGCATGGTGGTGTGTACCTGTAATCCCAGCTACTTGGGAGGCTGAGGCAGGAGAATCGCATGAACCCGGGAGGCGGAGGTTGCAGTGAGCCGAGATTGTCCACTGCATTCCAGCCTGGGCAACAGAATGAGACTCCATCTCAAAAAAAAAATTAAATATTAAATATTAAAAAAGAAAGATATTGCAGTAGGCTAGGTGAGAAACATAATAGCTGAATTGTGCAAATGTGTGGAAGAGTGCAGATTAAGAGGAGAAGACAGATTCAAGACCTACTTGGAAGGCAGAATCAGAACTTGGGAACTGATTGGGAAGCAGGGATGAAGGTAAGAGAGAAGACAAGAATGAAGCAGGCTTACAGCTTAGATGATTAGAAGATAGTGGTGCTACTAAAAAACAGTATACAATAAGCAAGTAGTGACCAGTTTTGGAGGGAAGTTGGCTAAAGGAGATCTTGTTTTATAAAAGGCAACTAGTGAAATTTAGTGCAAATGCTGAGAGAATTTATTTAACTTATTTAAATTAAATTTATAAATAACATCAAAATAAAAAATAAATTTAATTTAAATAAACCAAGTAATTTGCTATTTTCGTTTTTATTCAATTTGTTGTAGATATACTTTTACGATTCACAAAATTATGTATGTAAAGATTATAACACTATTTATTCTTTTTAGTTAAAATCTAATTAAATTTTCATATTTTAAAAATCATTTTTACATAAAAGTCTTCACTTTTATTTAGGATTTAATGATTAAGAAAATTCTCCAGGGCATTATGTTTATTGTCCTGTTCAAATCCAAGCTCTTTCACACAGAATTGTACAAGCAAAGTTTGAGTAACTAATCTTGGGGTCATATTCCAATGTGGCTCCCATTAAAGCATTTCAAAGAGTGCTAGATTCAGGCTCACATATGTTACAGCAACAGGCTATACTCTAGGGAAAGAACAAAACAGCTTGATAAAAACTGTTTCCTTTTAAGCATATTTAGACAAATATCTATCCTGTATTCTCTTTGCCATCTAGATTGGAGCCATGGCTTTGGAACAGAACCAGTCAACAGATTATTATTATGAGGAAAATGAAATGAATGGCACTTATGACTACAGTCAATATGAACTGATCTGTATCAAAGAAGATGTCAGAGAATTTGCAAAAGTTTTCCTCCCTGTATTCCTCACAATAGTTTTCGTCATTGGACTTGCAGGCAATTCCATGGTAGTGGCAATTTATGCCTATTACAAGAAACAGAGAACCAAAACAGATGTGTACATCCTGAATTTGGCTGTAGCAGATTTACTCCTTCTATTCACTCTGCCTTTTTGGGCTGTTAATGCAGTTCATGGGTGGGTTTTAGGGAAAATAATGTGCAAAATAACTTCAGCCTTGTACACACTAAACTTTGTCTCTGGAATGCAGTTTCTGGCTTGTATCAGCATAGACAGATATGTGGCAGTAACTAAAGTCCCCAGCCAATCAGGAGTGGGAAAACCATGCTGGATCATCTGTTTCTGTGTCTGGATGGCTGCCATCTTGCTGAGCATACCCCAGCTGGTTTTTTATACAGTAAATGACAATGCTAGGTGCATTCCCATTTTCCCCCGCTACCTAGGAACATCAATGAAAGCATTGATTCAAATGCTAGAGATCTGCATTGGATTTGTAGTACCCTTTCTTATTATGGGGGTGTGCTACTTTATCACAGCAAGGACACTCATGAAGATGCCAAACATTAAAATATCTCGACCCCTAAAAGTTCTGCTCACAGTCGTTATAGTTTTCATTGTCACTCAACTGCCTTATAACATTGTCAAGTTCTGCCGAGCCATAGACATCATCTACTCCCTGATCACCAGCTGCAACATGAGCAAACGCATGGACATCGCCATCCAAGTCACAGAAAGCATCGCACTCTTTCACAGCTGCCTCAACCCAATCCTTTATGTTTTTATGGGAGCATCTTTCAAAAACTACGTTATGAAAGTGGCCAAGAAATATGGGTCCTGGAGAAGACAGAGACAAAGTGTGGAGGAGTTTCCTTTTGATTCTGAGGGTCCTACAGAGCCAACCAGTACTTTTAGCATTTAAAGGTAAAACTGCTCTGCCTTTTGCTTGGATACATATGAATGATGCTTTCCCCTCAAATAAAACATCTGCATTATTCTGAAACTCAAATCTCAGACGCCGTGGTTGCAACTTATAATAAAGAATGGGTTGGGGGAAGGGGGAGAAATAAAAGCCAAGAAGAGGAAACAAGATAATAAATGTACAAAACATGAAAATTAAAATGAACAATATAGGAAAATAATTGTAACAGGCATAAGTGAATAACACTCTGCTGTAACGAAGAAGAGCTTTGTGGTGATAATTTTGTATCTTGGTTGCAGTGGTGCTTATACAAATCTACACAAGTGATAAAATGACACAGAACTATATACACACATTGTACCAATTTCAATTTCCTGGTTTTGACATTATAGTATAATTATGTAAGATGGAACCATTGGGGAAAACTGGGTGAAGGGTACCCAGGACCACTCTGTACCATCTTTGTAACTTCCTGTGAATTTATAATAATTTCAAAATAAAACAAGTTAAAAAAAAACCCACTATGCTATAAGTTAGGCCATCTAAAACAGATTATTAAAGAGGTTCATGTTAAAAGGCATTTATAATTATTTTTAATTATCTAAGTTTTAATACAAGAACGATTTCCCTGCATAATTTTAGTACTTGAATAAGTATGCAGCAGAACTCCAACTATCTTTTTTCCTGTTTTTTTTAAATTTGTAAGTAATTTTATAAAATCCACCTCCTCCAAAAAAGCAATAAAAAAAAAACAAACTATAATAAGCTTTTCTGATTCTTTTCAAAACATTCCTGGTAAGTTCCTAAAGACATAATTTGCTTCTATGATGTCAACTTTCTTACTAATAACTGGTTATCATGACAAATGTTAGGTTTATCATATATAGTCTAGGTGTAATCCTCAGACTATCATTTTCATCTGGGTTCCAATTTCTTAACTTCCTAAAGAATTCATCTGTTTATACAAGTCTACCACTGCCGATTGACTAAAAAATACATTATCCCATGCATAAAATGTCCTATTTTCATTTAAACACTTTATTTTTGAGTAATAAAAATATGTACCACAATAAATTATTGTTAATTAACATGTACAGCTTATCTTTTTTAAAAAAATTTGCTGTAAATTATTATAATCCATGTAATATGCTCCTACTAAAATTAAATTTTGCTAGCAATTACATTGGTCAAAAATAGTATGCACTAATGAATTTTATCTCTAAAACTACAAAAAATGACATGTTTTCTGCTCTTAAACATCACCTAACCAACATATGTTATTTTAAAATTACTTTTTCTTTCAACCACTATTTCTAAGTTTGAAAATGCTTTCACATGCAGAATTAATTAATTATTTTTTCATTTTTTTGAGACAGAGTTTCGCTCTTGTTGCCCAGGGTGAAGTACAGTGGTGCCATCTCAGCGCATGTCAACTTCCGCCACCCGGGGTCAAGCAAATCTCCTGCCTCAGCCTCCTGAGTAGTTGGGATTACAGGTGCCTGTCACCACACCTGGCTAATTTTTGTATTTTTAGTAGAGACAGGGCTTCACCATGTTGGCCAGGTTGGTCTTGAACTCCTGGCCTCAGGTGATCCACCTGCCTCAGCCTCCCAAAGTGCTGGGATTACAGGTGTTAGCCACCGCACCTGGCCTACACATGCAGAATTTAAAGAATTATGATCATGAAACTGATCACTATGTATCATAGCAATATTCTAGCATAGCATCTGGAACAAAGGATCAGTGTGTTAGGTGAAAAAATTAGGCTGAACACTCACCACTGCTCCACCATTTTTTGCCGTTAATTACATAGCTATCTTCATCTCGTTGGATGCTGCATTCAATATTCGTGGCATCACTTGAAGCTACATCAGGTTCTATAAATAAACAAAAGCTGAATTTACAGGCAGGCAGATATCATCAGTAGACTTAGATAAGGATATGAAAACTTTAAAAACAAAGACATCTTTATCTTTTTCAATGTCCTTTCACTCCCCATTCCACCCTGCTTTTCCCATAACCTACACACAGTATTCAATAAACGTGCACTGAAAGAATGAGTGAATGAATGAAGTATACTGAACATTGGGGATCAGTATTTTGAACTGTATTTTTGGCTTCCTCACTGATATATGATTTGGGATACAACCCAGTCCTTTCTCCAATCAGCAAATGTAGATAAAAGTATTGTTTTCTACTTCTCACAATGGAGATATGTACTAAATATTGATTGGCAAGACAGATTCCCCCCATATAGTTTACTGTCTTAAGCAATTTCTAATGTGCCTTGCAAATTCCATCAGGAATGCCTTCACTGATTTATATACTTTGCATTCTTTAAAGCCTGTTCAACACTTAAGGTCTTCAGAAAGTTCTCCATGGGACACCCTTAGACAACTGCTTTATTGCATGGCACTTCAGAACTGTCTAGCTCTCAATCATAGCAATCTGCACTTGCTAATATGACACCCCTTTAAATGAGTCCTTCAGATATCCCATGTGTTCTGTTTCTAAAACTTAAGACTTATTTTTTTTCTTTTTTAGAAAGAGGGCTGTGTATTCTACTTATTTTGTAAACCCCACCTAGTGCTTTGTAGACAATACATCCTACTGTAGGTATTCAATAAATGCCTATTACTGATTTAAACGGAGATCAGTTCTGCTATTATAGTAGTCCCCTGTTATCTGTAGTTTTGCTGTCTGAGGTTTCAGTTATGAGGCCAACTGCATTCCAAAAATATTAAGTGAAAAATTCCAGAAGTAAACAATTTGTAATTTTTAAATAGTGTACCATTCTGAGTATTGTTATAATTGTTCTATTTTATTATTAGTTATTATTAATGTCTTACTATGCCTAATTTAGAGATTAAACTGTATCATAGGTACATATGTATAAGAAAAAACATAGTCTAAATAGCATTCAGGACTATCCCAGTTTTCAGACACCCACTGGGAGTCTTAGAACGTATCCCCTTCAGATAAAAGAGGAGTACTGTATAAATGTATGCTATGTTATACAAAACAATAAAATCTGGCCATTATTGAAAGCACTTAAAAATTATGGACAAGCAAAATTTGGTATAATTCTAAACTAAATCACAAAACAATGATTTTTTTCTATTGAAGAGTTCTTAATGCTTTCTATGTACAAATGATATTAAATCTGTTTTTATTGACATGTTCCTTTATTTTCCCACATGATTATAATTTGAGCCATATGTCCAGTACTGGTGAAATTTCTATTTTTCTGGGTTTATGGAAGAGTTGAATATTTTATAAGTATCAATATAAAATTATCACAAAGATAGATATTTCATACATAAGGGCAAAGAAGATCTTAAATATTCATATATAGCAATTTTAGTAATGACATCAAAAAATTGTGAAACTAAGTTTACTCTGCTACTAATGCTATAGCAGGCTACTAGAGAACATCATCTGATATTCTAACAAAGGAGAGGATCATATTTTTCTGAACATTTGAAAATGCCAAAATTTAATAACAGGCTCAAAATAAACATACTCACATTTTTGGCCAATGGCAAATTTGACTGAAACACAGAACCACATCCTGTATTTCTTCAGCTCATCCATAATAACTCCGGGACGACTGACTACACAAGGAGAGAATGGTGATTGGCATTTACCTGTCATACAGAAGCAAGAGGTAATGTTCCCTTGAAGAAGAGGCTCAAGCCACTGTTTCTTCTGTTCCTCACTTCCATACAGGTGCAGAACCTCCATATTCCCTGTGTCTACACATAAAGAAGGAGTATTTGTTTTGCATTTGAAAATTTATCAGTATGAAATCCACAACTTTATGTAGAGAGTATAGAAATGCATCTTTTTAAAGCAAATGTTTGCTAACAAAAATATTTTGAAATATATAGTAAATATAATTTATACTGACAGCATGTCATAAATATTTACAAGTACAGGGCATTTGGTGCATATTTATTCAACTTGTTCTGAATCACAGACTCTTCTTCAGTTCATCCCAATGAAGAATGGCACTAATGACATCTAACTCAATTAGAACTGAAGGAAAAAATTTACTGGCCTAAACCTTGCCTGCTGTATTGCAAATATGCCCTGCTAGAAGTGATTGCAATGCTCCCGGAGAACAATTAACATTGCATGTCCTACTGAGACTCCAGCCCTTAATTTTATCTGCTGTTCCTCAAACACACCCTGTGCTTTCTAATTTCCACATATATGCTTGGGCCAGGCTTTTTCTCAAGTGAAATTCTCCCTGTCCTTCACAAGTAAATTCCTGCGTATGAGCCACCTCCTCTGCAAAGAATCTCTGATTACCCAGTCAGTGACACCTCCTTCCTCTGAACTTACATAACAATTATTTCTATTTACCTCTAACATTGCTCTTACTTTTATGTACCCCATACTACCTAGAAAATACTTGATAATTCTCAAGGATGCTAAAGACAGAATCCCTGCCCTGGAAAGAAAATGGCAGTAGATAACTTCAAAGACCCTCTCTGACCCTTGGAGGGTATTGTTTATAGTACATGATGCACTGCAGTATTGCCCTTGGCTAACAAAGAATTCTTCATGACTGCCATGGAGTAAAATTTTCTAGATGGCTTCCTCTGATTTTCCATTCCTGTCAAATTTCTTAAAATACTGTCTAAAACCTTTCCCTTGAGTGTTGATTATTCAGAAGATTTTGAGAAAACAATTTTCATATCAACATTTACAATGACTTTAAGGTTAGTTACTGAAATGCTTATGAAAATTGAGTTGTGTAAGTTAAACTTCTCAAGATGTCTGCACTCTGTTCAGGCACTCCTAACAGAGCCAACATTACATCAACATTAACAAAATTCCTTGTAGATTAACACAGCTTAACATTCTTTTTGACTGAGGGAGAAAATAAGTCCTGAGTTATAATTCATGAAGCTCATTGTTTGTTTTCTTTGCCTGTTTTAAATTCACTGTTACTTGTTATAGTACAAATAAGGTAAATATTGAATTCAAAATTTCCAAAAATTATCAGTTTCTTCCGAAAAGCTCACAAAGTTATCATTTACAGGTTGGAAAAAAAAACTTGGATAAACTACACCAACAAGAAAAATGATTTCCCATTAAAAAATATCAGACCAGCTCTCTAGATTCCTCCTCTCTGGGCAGGGCATCTCTAAAAGAAAGGCAGTAGCCCCAGTCAGGGGCTTATAGACGAAACTCCCATCTCCCTGGGACAGAGGACCTGCGGGAAGGGGTGGCTGTGGGCGCGGCTTCAGCAGACTTCAACATTCCTGCCTGCCGGCACTGAAGGGAGCAGCGGATCTCCCAGCACAGTGCTTGAGCTCTGCTAAGGGACAGACTGCCTCCTCAAGTGGGTCCCTGACCCCCGTGCCTTCTGACAGGGAGACACCTCCCAACAGGGGTCAACATACACCTCAAACAGGACAGCTCTGGATGGTGTGTGGTGGGTGCACCTCAGGGATGAAACTTCCAGAGGAAGGAACAGGCAGCAATCTTTGCTGTTCTGCAGCCTCCACTTGTGATATCCGGGCAAACAGGGTTGGGAGTGGACCTCCAGCAAACTCCAGCAGACCTGCAGCAGAGGGGCCGGACTCAGAAGGAAAACTAACAAACAGGAATAGCATGAACAACAGAAAGGACACCTACACAAAAACTCCATCTGAAGGTCACCAACATCAAAGACCAAAGGTAGAAAAATCCACGAAGATGAGGAAAAACCAGTGCAAAAAGGCTGAAAATTCCAAAAACCAGAATGCCTCTTCTCTCCAAAGGATCACAACCCCTCGCCAGCAAGGGAACAAAACTGGATGGAGAATGAGTTTGACGAATTGACAGAAGTAGGCTTCAGAAGGTGAGTAATAACAAACTCCTCTGAGCTAAAGAAGCATGTTCTAACCCAATGCAAGGAACCTAAGAACCTTGACAAAAGGTTAGAGGAATTGCTAACTAGAATAACCAGTTTAGAGAAGACCATAAATGACCTGATAGAGCTGCAAAACACAGCACGAGAACTTCGTGAAGTATACACAAGTATCAATAGCTGAATCAATCAAGTGAAAGAAAGGATATCAGAGACTGAAGATCAACTTAATGAAATAAAGCATGAAGACAAGATTAGAGAAAAAAGAATGAAAAGGAATGAACAAAGCCTCCAAAAAATATGGGATGATGTGAAAAGACCAAACCTAGGTTTGACTGGTGTACCTGAAAATGATGGGGAGAATGGAACCAAGTTGGAAAACACTCCTCAGGATATTATCCAGGAGAACTTCCCCAACCTAGAAAGAGAGGCCAACATTCAAATTCAGGAAATAAGGAGAACACCACAAAGATACTCCTCAAGAAGAGCAACCCCAAGACACATAATCGTCAGATTCACCAAGGTTGAAATGAAAGAAAAAATGTGAGGGGCAGCCAGAGAGGTCAGGTTACCCACAAAAGGAAGCCCATCAGACTAACAGTAGATTTCTCTGCAGAAACCCTACAAACCAGAAGAGAGTGGGGGCCAATATTCAACATTCTTAAAGAAAAGAAATTTCCAACCCAGAATTTCATATCCAGCCAAACTAAGCTTCATAAGCGAAGGAAAAATAAAATCCTTTACAGACAAACAAATGCTGGGAGACATTTTGTCACCACCAGGCCTGTCTTACAACAGCTCCTGAAGGAGGCACTAAACATGCAAAGCAAAAACTGGTACTAGCCACTGCAAAAACATACCAAATTGTAAAGACCATCGACACTATAAAGAAACTGCATCAACTAACAGGCAAAATAACCAGCTAGCATCATAATGACAGGATCAAATTCACATATAACAATATTAACCTTAAATGTAAATGGGTTAAATGCCCCAATTTAAAGACACACACTGGCAAATTGGATAAACAGTCAAGACCCATTGGTGTGCTGTATTCAGGAGACCCATCTCACGTGCACAGACACACATAGGCTCAAAATAAAGGGATGGAGGAAGATTTACCAAGAAAATGGAAAGCAAAACAAAAACAAACAAACAAAAAAGCAGGGGTTGCAATCCTAGTTTCTAATAAAACAGACTTTAAACCAACAAAGATAAAAAAAAGACAAAGAAGGACATTACATAATGGTAAAGGGATCAATGCAACAAGAAGAGCTAACTATCCTAAATATATATGCACCCAAAACAGGAGCACCTAGATTCATAAAGCAAATTCTTAGAGACTACAAAGAGACTTAGACTCCCACACAATAATAGTGGGAGACTTTAACACCCCATTGTCAATATCAGACAGGTCGACGAGACAGAAAATTAACAAGGATATTCAGGACTTGAACTCAGCTCTGGACCAAGCAGACCTAGTAGTCATCTACAGACTCTCCACCCCAAACTGACAGAATATACATCCTTCTCAGCACCACATTGCACTTATTCTAAAATTGACCACATAATTGGATGTAAAACACTCCTCAGAAAATGCAAAAGAATTGAAATCATAACAAAAAGACTCTCAGACCACAGTGCAATCAAATTAGAACTCAGGATTAAGAAACTCACTCAAAACCGCACATCTATATGATAACTGAACAACCTGCTCCTGAATGACTACTGGGTAAATAATGAAATTAAGGCAGAAATAAATAAGTTATTTGAAACCAATAAGAACAAAGACACAATGTACCAGAATCTCTGGGACACAACTAAAGCAGTATTTAGAGGGAAATTTTTAGCACTAAATGCCCACAGGAGAAAGCGGGAAAGATGTAAAATTGACACGCTAACATCACAATTAAAAGAACTAGAGAAGCAAGCCAAACAAATTCAAAAGCTAGCAGAAGACAAGAAATAACCAAGATCAGAGCAGAACTGAAGGAGATAGGGACAAGAAAAACCCTTCAAAAAATAAATGAATCCAGGAGCTGTTTTTTTGAAAAGGTTAACTAAATACACCACTAGCCAGACTAATAAAGAAAAGAGAAGAATCAAATAGACACAATAAAAAATGATAAAGGGGATATCAACACTGATCCCACAGAAATACAAACTACCATCAGAGAATACTATAAACACCCTATGCAAATAAACTAGAAAATCTAGAAGAAATGGATAAACTCCTGGACACATATACCCTCCCAAGATTAAACCAAAAAGAAGTCAAATCCCTGAATAGACCAATAACAAGGTCTGAAACTGAGGCAGTAATTAATAGCCCACCAACCCAAAAAAGCCCAGGACCAGATGGTTTCACAGTCGAATTCTACCAGAGGTACAAAGAGGAGCTGGTACCCTTCCTTCTGAAACTATTCCAAATAGAAAAAGAGGGACTCCTTCCTAACTCGTTTTATGAGGCCAGCATCATCCTGATACCAAAACCTGGTGGAGACACAACAAAAAAAGAAAATTTCAGGCCAATATACCTGATGAACATCGAAGTGAAAATCCTCAATAAAATACTGGCAAACCAAATCCAGCAACACATCAAAAAGCTTATCCACCACAATCAAGTTGGCTTCATCCCTGGGATGCAAGGCTGGTTCAACATATGCAAACCAATCGATGTAATCCATCACATAAACAGAACCAATGACAAAAACCACATGATTATCTCAATAGATGCAGAAAAGGCCTCTGATAAAATTAAACACCCCTTCATGCAAAAACTCAATAAACTCGGTATTGATAGAACGTATCTCAAAATAATAAGAGCTATTTATGACAAACCCACAGCCAATATCATACTGAATGGACCAAAGCTGGAAGCACTCCCTTTGAAACTGGGACACATTCAAAGCAGTATGTAGAGGGAAATTTATAGCACTAAATGCCCACAAGAGAAAGCAGGAAAGATCTAAAATTGACACCCTAACATCACAATTAAAAGAACTAGAGAAGAGCAAACACATTCAAAAGCTAGCAGAAGGCAAGAAATAACTAAGATCAGAGCAGAACTGAAGGAAATACAGACACAAAAAACCCTTCAAAAAACCAACGAATCCAGGAGCTGGTTTTTTGAAAAGATCAACAAAATTGATAGACCGCTAGCAAGATTAATAAAGAAGAAAAGAGAGAAGAATCAAATAGAAGCAATAAAAAATGACAAAGGGGATATCACCACCGATCCCACAGAAATACAAACTACCATCAGAGAATACTATGAACACCTCTATGCAAATAAACTAGAAAATCTAGAAGAAATGGATAAATTCCTAGACACATACACCCTCCCAAGACTAAACCAGGAAGAAGTTGAATCTCTGAATAGACCAATAACAGGCTCTGAAATTGAGGCAATAATTAATAACCTACCAACCAAAAAAAGTCCAGGACCAGATGGATTCACAGCTGAATTCTACCAGAGGTAGAAGAAGGAGCTGGTACCATTCCTTCTGAAACTATTCCTATTCATGGAAAAAGAGGGAATCCTCCCTAACTCATTTTATGAGGCCAGCATCATCCTGATACCAAAGCCTGGCAGAGACACAATAAAAAAAGAGAATTTTAGACCAATATCCTTGATTAACATTGATGCAAAAATCCTCAATAAAATACTGGCAAACGGAATCCAGCAGCACATCAAAAAGCTTATCCACCATGATCAAGTGGGCTTCATCCCTGGGATGCAAGGCTGGTTCAACATACGCAAATCAGTAAACGTAATCCAGCATATAAACAGAACCAAAAACAAAAACCACATTATTATCTCAAGAGATGCAGAAAAGGCTTTAGACAAAATTCAACAACGCTTCATGCTAAAAACTCTCAATAAATTAGGTATCAATGGGACGTATCTCAAAATAATAAGAGCTATCTATGACAAATCCACAGCCAACATCAAACTGAATGGACAAAAACTGGAAGCATCCCCCTTGAAAACTGGCACAAGATAGGGATGCCCTCTCTCACCACTCCTATTCAACACAGTGTTGGAAGTTCTGGCCAGGGCAATCAAGCAGGAGAAGGAAATAAAGGGCATTCAATTAGGAAAAGAGGAAGTCAAATTGTTCCTGTTTGCAGATGACATGAGTATATATCTAGAAAACCCCATCGTCTCAGCCCAAAATCTCCTTAAGCTGATAAGCCGCTTCAGCAAAGTCTCAGGATACAAAATCAATGTGCAAAAATCACAAGCATTCATATACACCAATAACAGAGAAACAGAGAGCCAAATCATCAGTGAACTCCCATTCACAATTGCTTCAAAGAGAATAAAATACCTAGGAATCCAACTTACAAGGGATGTGAAGGACCTCTTCAAGGAGAACTACAAACCACTGCTCAATGAAATAAAAGAGGATACAAAGAAATGGAAGAACATTCCATGCTCTTGGGTAGGAAGAATCAATATAGTGAAAATGGCCATACAGCCCAAGGTAATTTATAGATTCAATGCCATCCCCATCAAGCTACCAATGACTTTCTTCACAGAATTGGAAAAAACTACTTTAAAGTTCAAATGGAACCAAAAAAGAGCCTGCATCGCCAAGTCAATCCTAAGCCAAAAGAACAAAGCTGGAGGCATCACGCTACCTGACTTCAAACTACACTACAAGGCTACAGTAACCAAAACAGCATGGTACTGGTACTAAAACAGAGATACAGACCAATGGAACAGAACAGAGCCCTCAGAAATAATGCCGCATATCTACAACTATCTGATCTTTGATAAACCTGACAAAAACAAGAAATGGGGAAAGGATTCCCTATTTAATAAATGGTGCTGGGAAAACTGGCTAGCCATATGTAGAAAGCTGAAACTGGATCCCTTCTTTACACCTTATACAAAAATTAATTCAAGATGGATTAAAGACTTACATGTTAGACCTAAAACCATAAAAACCCTAGAAGAAAACCTAGGCAATACCATTCAGGACATAGGTATGGGCAAGGACTTCATGTCTAAAACATCAAAAGCAATGGCAACAAAAGACAAAATTGACAAATGGGATCTAATTAAACTAAAGAGCTTCTGCACAGCAAAAGAAACTACCATCAGAGTGAACAGGCAACCTACAGAATGGGAGAAAATTATTGCAACCTACTCATCTGACAAAGGGCTAATATCCAGAATCTACAATGAACTCAAACAAATTTACAAGAAAAAAACAAACAACCCCATCAACAAGTGGGTGAACGATATGAACAGACACTTCTCAAAAGAAGACATTTATGCAGCCAAAAAACACATGAAAAAGCACTCATCATCACTGGCTATCAGAGAAATGCAAATCAAAACCACAATGAGATACCATCTCACACCAGTTAGAATGGCAATCATTAAAAAGTCAGGAAACAACAGGTGCTGGAGAGGATGTGGAGAAATAGGAACACTTTTACACTGTTGGTGGGACTGTAAACTAGTTCAACCATTGTGGAAGTCAGTATGGCGATTCCTCAGGGATCTAGAACTAGAAATTCCATTTGACCCAGCCATCCCATTACTGGGTATATACCCAAAGGATTATAAATCATGCTGCTATAAAGGCACATGCACACGTATGTTTATTGTGGCACTATTCACAACAGCAAAGACTTGGAACCAACCCAAATGTCCAACAATGATAGACTGGATTAAGAAAATGTGGCGCATATACACCATGGAATACTATGCAGCCATAAAAAATAATGAGTTCATGTCCTTTGTAGGGACATGGATAAAGCTGGAAACCATCATTCTCAGCAAACTATCGCAAGGACAAAAAACCAAACACTGCATGTTCTCACTCATAGGTGGGAATTGAACAATGAGAACACATGGACACAGGAAGGGGAACATCACACTCTGGGGACTGTTGTGGGGTGGGGGAAGGGGGGAGGGATAGCATTAGGAGAGATACCTAATGCTAAATGACGAGTTAATGGGTGCAGCACACCAACATGGCACATGTATACATATGTAATAAACCTGCACGTTGTAGACATGTACCCTAAAACTTTAAGTATAATAATAATAAAAATAACTAAATAAAAATAATATTCTAAAACAAAACAAACAAACAAAAAAAGAAAACCAGCACAAGACAAAGATGCCCTCTCTCACCACTCCTATTCAACATAGTATTGGAAGTTCTGGCCAGGGCAATCAGGCAACAGAAAGAAATGAAGGGTATTCAGATAGGAAGAGAGGAAGTCAAATTGTCACTGTTTGCAGATGACATGATAGTATATTTAGAAAACCCCATCATTGGCCGGGTGCAGTGGCTCACGCCTGTAATCCCAGCACTTTGGGATGCCAAGGTGGATGGATCACCTGAGGTCAGGAGCTTGAGACCAGCCTGGTCAGCATGGTGAAACCACATCTCTACTAAAAGTACAAAAATTAGTCGGGCATGGTGGCAGGCTCCTGTGATCCCAGCTACTCAGTAGGCTGAGGCAGGAGAATTGCTTGGGCCTGGGAGGCGGAGGTTGCAGTGAGCCAAGATTGCACCACTGCTCTCCAGCTTGGGCGAGACGAGTGAGACTCCATCTCAAAAAAGAAAGAAAAAAGAAAACCCCATCATCTCAGCCCAAAATCTCCTTAAGCTGATAAGCAACTTCAGCAAAGTCTCAGGATACAAAATCAATGTGCAAAAATCACAAGCATTCCTATACACCAATAATAGACAAACAGAGAGCCAAATCTTGAGTGAACTCCCATTCACAATTGCTACAAAGAGAATAAAATACCTAAGAATCCAACTTATAAGGGATGTGAAGGACCTCTTCAAGGAGAACTACAAACCACTGCTCAAGGAAATAAGACAGGACACAACCAAATGGAAAAACATTCCATGCTCATGGATAGGAAGAATCAATATCATGAAAATGGCCATACTGCCCAAAGTAATTTATAGATTCAATGCCATCCCCATCAAGCTACCATTGACTTTCTTCACAGAATTAGAAAAAAAGTACTTTAAATTTCATATGGAACCAGAAAAGAGCCCATATAGTCAAGACAATCCTAAGCAAAAAGAACAAAGCTGGAGGCATCATGCTACCTGACTTCAAACTATACTACGAGGCTACAGTAACAAAAACAGCATGGTACTGGTACCGAAATAGATATATAGACCAATGGAACAGAACAGAGGCCTCAGAAATAACGCCACACATCTACAACCATCTGATCTTGGACAAACCTGACACAAACAAGCAATGTGGGAAGGATTTCCTATTTAATAAATGGTGTTGGGAAAACTGGCTAGCCATATGCAGAAAGCTGAAACTGGATGCCTTCTTTACACCTTATGCAAAAATTAACTCAAGATGGATTAAAGACTTAAACGTAAGACCTAAAATGACAAAAGCCCTAGAAGAAAACCTAGGCAATACCATTCAGGACATAGGCATGGGCAAAGACTTCATGACTAAAACACCAAAAGCAATGGCAACAAAAGCCAAAATAGACAAATAGGATCTAATTAAACTAAAAAGCTTCTGCACAGCAAAAGAAACTATCACCAGAGTGAACAGGCCACCTACAGAATGGGAGAAAAATTTTGCACTTCATCCATCTGACAAAGGGCTAATATCCAGAATCTACAAAGAACTTAGACAAATTTAGAAGAAAAAACAAAGAACCCCATCAAAAAGTGGGCAAAGTATATGAACAGACACTTCTCGAAAGAAGACATTTCTGTGCCCAACAAACATATGAAAAAAAGCTCATCATCACTGGTCATTAGAGAAACACAAATCAAAACCACAATGAGATACCATCTCACGCCAGTTAGAATGGTGATCATCAAAAAGTCAGGAAACAATAGATGCTGGAGAGGATGTGGAGAAATAGGAAAGCTTTTACACTGTTGGTGGGAGTGTAAATTAGTTCAACCATTGTGGAAGACAGTATGGTGATTCCTCAAGGATCTAGAACCAGAAATACCATTTGACCCACCAATCCCATTACTGGATATATACCGAAAGGATTATAAATCATTCTACTATAAAGACACATGCACATGTATGTTTATTGCAGCACTATTCACAATAGCAAAGACTTGGACCCAATCCAAATGCCCATCAATGACAGACTGGATAAAGAAAATGTGACACATACACACCATGGAATACTATGCAGCCATAAAAAAGGGATGAGTTCCTGTTCTTTGCAGGGACATGGATGAAGCTGGAAACCATCATTCTCAGCAAACTAATACAGGAGCAGAAAACCAAACACTGCATATTCTCACTCATAAGTAGGAGCTGAACAATGAAAACACATGGACACAGGGAGGGGAACATCACATATCAGCGCCTGTCGCAAGGTGAGGGGTTAGGGGAGAGATAGCATTAAGAGAAATACCTAATGTAGATGACAGCAAACCACCATGGCATGTGTATACCTACGTAACAAACCTTCACGTTCTGCACACGTATCCCAGAACTTAAAGTATATAAAACAAATACCAGCCCAAAGGCCCCCAAATTTTCCAGTAATAGCTTTAGAATTAAAGTTGCTATTTTCAACATTCCAATATACAATATTGTATGACTTATTGAAGGGGGGAAAAAGGGCAAACTGGAAGACTACATATGTTTCCCATATGTTTTATAACTATTTGGGAAATGATCTGGGTGGCTTGAGTAGAAATTCATCTTTTATACTTAAGAAACCTCTCGAAGTATTTACTCAACATCAATTATACTGCCTTCTTCATCTGCTTTGGAAATGATCCAAAATGCAATGCTTGAGGCCTTCGTGGTACCTTCACCACAAAGAGAAAACGCCTAGTTTTCTATTTATAGTTGTACACAACTTGTTTGCTTAGAAGAGTTGCTCATCATTTCTTAGAGCAAATCTCTGTCCAATTTTAAAATTTCAGCAATTTAGTTATCTCATTTAGGCAGTACAGCTGATGGACTCATGAAATTTTAATGCTAGAGAAAAATCCATGACCATCTAGTGAAAAGTGAGTTCACAGGTCAAATGATAAAATAGTGGCAGAGCTGAATCTGCAAGAGAAGTCTTTGGTAGGATTATTTTTCATATTATGATCCATTAGTGCATCATGAAATCAACTTAATGGAATATAGCTAGCATTCTCTAAAAAATGAAATAGAACAAAATAGAATGCATTAGATTAGACTCAGTGGAAAATATCCAAATGCACTTGCATGTAGTAAGAGAAACTCTTGTTTTGTGAAACTTTTGTTTCAATAATATCCATCCATCCATCCATCCATTCATTCTGAACATATACATACACCTATATATTCTACAAATTGGGTCACAATATAAAATATATTTCTTACTATGAGTAGCAATCAAAAATGTTTTAAACAAAAAGACTACCCATTCAGTTCCCTTTCCACAAAATCATGCTACCTTTGTAGAATGATGTAATAGCCTTACACAGTTGAGATGAAATCTTTAGAAGCTCTGTGAATAGACTTTAATTTTACAGTAGCTTATTATTGGATTACAATGTAGTACAGCAGTAATTTGATAAATCAGTGTTTGGAAAAGAGATAATCATTTCAGGGACAAGTTCAACCATTATCAGAAATCTACAAACTATTTTAATGATGCCAAAGCAATGAGACAAAGTCCAGTGTGGAAAATCCAGACTGCGTTTTGTCTCAGGAGTCCAGTACTGTCTCATATACCTCTTTCTGGTAGCCTGCATTAACTTGTTTTTGGTAGAGCTTTAGCACCAGGGCCATGCATAAACACAAAAGGCAATACTGAGGCCTATCTTGTGCAGGGATGGGCCTGCCATTGGATATTGTCCCATAATCATCCTACTACAAATCAAGTGCTAGTCCTTGACTGGTAGCATTAGGATAATCAGAGTAATTTGAAAAAAAATATTCCCAGGGTCTACCCTAGATATACTGAATCAGAATCTCTAGGGATGGAGGCTGGGAATCTAGATTTTTCAAAGGTTCCTTAGGTGGTTCTTCTGCAAATCCAGTTTTGAAGATACCTCCTATAGACTACGTTCCAGGTTTACTCCTTTCATTTTACTTTTTAAAAAATTGGCCTCCTTCCTTCATCTTTTCAATTTGATTTCACCTCAAAATCCTTGGAGGCATCCTTGACTCTTCCATTAATACCCCATATCCAATGAGGATATCCTCATGGCTCTGCCTTTAAAATATATTTAGAATCTTGCTACTTATCATCCACTACACTACTACCACCCCAGTCTAAACCACCATTATCTCTCACCAGGATTATTGCCACTGACTCTCTGCTTCCCTCTTACCCTACTTTGGTCAATTCTCAACATAGCAGTCAAGGTGATCCTTTCAAAACTGAAGTTACAACTTATCACTAATCTGCACAAAATTCCCATTGGCTCATCCTTTCAATGAAGGTATAAGCCCCTCTTATTTGCCCTATGAAGCTCAAAATATGAGGCCCTTGCCTCTCTGATCTCTTCTCCTACTATTATTTTCCTGGCCACACTGGCCTCTCTGGTTATTACTGGAATACATCAATCACACTCTTGCCTTTTCTGTTCCATCTACTATAAAAACTCTTTCCCCATATAACAGCATGACTAACTCAAGAAATCACCTTATATAAGTTATTACCAAATGTCATTTTCTCAGTGAGGCCTATCCTGACCATTCTATTTAAAAATGTAACCCATATTCCCTGTACTTCAAATTTCAGAGCTCCTCTATTCTGCTGTTTTTTTCCAAAGCACTTTTCATCTTCAAACTTATTACGTAAGTTTGAAGTTTACTTATTATAATTATTATTTATTTTTGTATCCTTGTATGTCAATTAGATCCTTGAAAGAAGGCATCTTTGCGTATTTTATTCACTGATATATCATTGTGAGAACATAGAACACTGCTCGGGACATAGTAGGTAATCAGTAAATAATTGGTAAATGAATGGTTTATTCATTTGGTGAATGAATAGTGAGGCTAACCAAAAGATTTGAAACTCTCTATCCATTCCAACTAGTAATAGAAATATCCAATTCCCATGGATCCATGATCCATGATCCTTACACGACCAATCCCTTTGGTGGCTAATTTTTTTCACCAATACTCTTAATTGTAATGATATTTAACAAAAGAATAGTCCAATGAAAATTTCAAATCCATTTCTTATATTTAAATCAAAGTAACTGAAAAGTAAAATTATAGCTAAATTCATAAGTCAATAACTTTGTATAAAAACACATTCTTATCATATATAGAAATTTTAAACACTGATCAAAATATTAGAAAAAATTATGTTTTCAATTAATGTAGTAACCTGGTGCTTGGCAGTTAAAGACATCTGGAGCAAAAAAGCATTTTCCTGTTTCTTCAGCAATCAAGGCATAGTCCACGTGGCTGAGTCCGCTGACAGCTGGCAAAAACAAGTTCCAGAGACCCTCGACTTTGGCCATTTCCTGTCAAGGTGATGAACATGCCAGAGTGACCATAATTTACCAGGACTCACAGTAGTTTATTTCTTTTTTTAAATATTGGTATTTATGATCTTTGAAATTTAAAAACACTTATGGAGTTATTTATTTTACTGTATTCTCCAGTGAGCAAAACCAAGTTCTTATTAATTCATTATAAATCAACAGTTTAACCATTAATAACATGTCTTTTCCTCCAAGCTTCCTTGGATTTGGCTGAAAAATTAAGTTTGCTACTTGAGAACTTCTTCTGGAATCAGAACTATTACAAAATCTCCCACATTTGAGTATGATATGCCAAATATACTACTTTGTGCATTTTAATTTCTTACATGAATTGATGTTAAGATTTGAAAAACATGAAATTTGGATTAATTCTATGTGGGACAAATGCCCTGCCTTGACTTCAGTCTCAATTCAGTGATGGCTAATAATGAATAGTTTTAATCATATTTTTTCCTTTGAACAGTTGTAAGAGGTTGTCTTCATTACTACCATATATAGAACACTACCTAGCCTAATTTGTATGTTATAGATTCTATTTATTAACTTTCTTTTTTTAAAGGTTATTATTGATATAATTTTCTTCTACATATATAACAATAGCAACAACAAAACTAAGGTCTAGGATCTCAAAAAACACTTGCATATGAATTTTCTAGCGTTAAAGATTTTCTTACCTTGAGTTTATCAATCACTAAAGGTTTTCCCCACTTGTCCACTGAATTTTCATTTTGAACATAGAACTCAGTTACCTCCTTAAAGTAATAAAAGAAAAAAATTTCACTAGCTAAAGTTAATACAAAGTAAACAATGTCATAAACTGCTAATATCTAAAATAAACATTTTTAGGTGAAGATGCTTTTTCAGCTATTATTAAACCAGACACAGAAGCATAAAACATTCTAAAGGTTTGCTGATCACAAAATCATGCTGCCACAATATTAGATAGTAGGCTACTAAAATCTTATACCAAGATTTGAGTGTTTCATTTCTAGCAATATGACAAACTAGATAGTCATAGAAACTGCTCAACTAAAAATGTTGGGTAAAATATTAAAAATAGTTTTAAAATACATTTATTAATACATAGCTGTGCTGGAAGGAAAATGAGAAAATTCCTTGGAGGCCAGAAACAAAAAAGCCTGACTCTTCAAGTGTGAGCACACATTGCAGCCAAGTTTGTCCAGGGCATATAGGCTGATCTATGTTAGCCCTGTTACACCCTAGGTTTTAATGGGCCACATAGGCAGGAGTCAGACATAGTCAAATGCCCCAAACATGGCAAGAGGGAGGATCAAAGATCAGCTCTTTCCTCCACCAAAGCTAGGCTGCTTGATGGGTAAAACCTAAGTGGAAGAAAATTTAAAAAGCAAAAACAAACAAACAGAAAACCCACCCCTCAGAGGTAGACCATGGGAATACAGGCCTTTATATAGGTCTTAGCTCTGGCTGGAATAGACAAAATAAACATTCTAACTGAAGTCTGTTTTCACCCAAGTTTGGGACTGAATTCACAGACTTATGGGGCATTAAACTTTAAGCCAAAATTTAAGTTTACAGTGTTTCTGGTGACAGTGCCTGCTAATACCTGGCAGATGCGAAAACAAATCCTATCTGTAGGAAAGAGCTTTAAACAAAGCCTTAAATAACTTTCACAGATAAAATTCCAGAACATGAGTTCAAAATAAAAAACTATTTATCACTCAAGGAAACAAGCCACCATTAGTAAGAGTTAGCAAAAACAATCATTCACCAAGATGGAATTGCACTTCCCAAAGACTATAAATAGAGTAATGATCAGTCACAGGACATAAACTATTTGTGTTTAATAGATTTCAAGAATAAAGGAAGAAATTAAAAGTATAACAAAGGACTATCAAAAGTGACCAGGCACATTTGAAAAAGAATTGAATAAAATCTAAGGAAAGGAAAACCATAGAGATGAAACTTAAAAACTCTATGGCAGTGATTCCCAAATTTTGGTGGCTCTCAGAATCTCCTGGGGAACTTGATAAAAATATGGGGGCCTAAGCTTTGTCCTACTTCAATGAACCTGCACTTCTGTGTCCTTTACTAGCTTAAGCAATTCTCACACACTCCAAAATTTGAAAACAGTTACTCTGTGGATGTTGAAAAATAGATTAGATAACAGCTGAAAAAACAAATCATAAATTGGAAGAAAGACCTGAAGAAATTACTCAGAATGATGCACAGAAACTCAAAAGAAGGCAAATATGAGTGGTAAAGGAATATAATGAATTCAAAAAGAAGTTCTAACACAAGTCTAATTGGAGTCCCAGACATAAAGAATAAAGAGAGAGGCAATATTTGGAAAAATTACTCTTAAAAGTTTTCGGAACTGATAAGACAGCAATCCTCAAATTCGGAAAGCCAATGAAGCCAGAGCATAGTAAAACTACAGAACATTAAAGAGAAAGAAAAGCTCTTAGAAAGAGGAGGTTGCCTCCTTAGCGCAGTAGGGCAGTGCATCAGTCTCATAATCTGAAAAAGAGAAAGAAGAGGGGAAAAAAGAAAGATTACTGATAATTAAACAACAGTTAAGATTGAGAGCTGACTTCTCAAAGCAACAAATGAAGCCAGAAATCACTGGGATAATAGCTTCAATTGCTGAGAGAAAATAACTGTCATTGTAAAATTCTATATGCAATGAAACTATCTTTCACGAACTAGGGCAAAATAAAGGTATTAACAATAAGTAAAGTCATTGCCACCTCTCCCCAGCAAGAAAAAAGGAAAACAACAACAAAAAAGATAAACAAAGGAAAGGGAAAAGTTTACTCGCACATTCACACTAAAGGAACTTGACCTAGAAGAAACATCTGAGTTGCAAGAAGGAATAGTAAATAAATAAAATGATAAATAGGTAGGTAAACTTAAAATTTGAAACTATAATCCCAGCATTTTGGGAGGCCAAGGTGGGCAGATTACTTGAGGTCAGAAATTTGACACTAGCCTGGCCTACCTGTCTTTACCAAATGAAACATAATGAAACCCTGTCTTTACCAAAATACACAAAAATTAGCTGAGTGTGGTGGCACATGGCTATAGTCCCAGCTACTCAGGAGGCTGAGGCGGGAGAATCACTTGAACCCAGGAAGCAGAGGTTGCAGTGAGCCGAGATTGCCCCACCCCACTGCAGCCTGGGTGACAGAATGAGACTCTGTCTCAAAAAAAAAAAAAAAAAAGCCACATAAAACAATAACAATCACTAATTTGTACAACTAAAAGAATATAGAACAAAAATATTGGAGTATAACAGCATTTTCCAATATTTTGCTATTATAGTATCTCTGTATGTTTCTACACTTAGGCTAGTGGTATTACTTACAAACATTGTCAAAACTCTTAACCCATATTATCAAATTATTTTCCAAATCATTCTATCAATTTACACTCATATAACAATGTACTAAAATGTTCCTTTCATTGAAGCATGGCTAGTCTAGAGTATTGCAGTATTTAATGAAAACCTCAAGAAGGCAAAGGTCTGCTCTTTCAAAGGCACCAGGATGAACAGCCCTTCTCATTTCTGTCAGGAAGTCCGTTAAATTGGAAGATTTCCTGTTTGGGGTTGTTTATTATTTCCATCCCTCATATTGCCTTGGAAATATTCAATGCTACTGTGTTTGATAAGAAATATATTATGCAGTACATTTCTCATTTTCTAATCTCTGACCACCTTTTCTCATCTCTGACCACAGTTTGAAGAAATTAAATTATGCCAGTGTTTATATAATTTTAAAATTTGTATTATTTAATACTTTGAGTTCTAAATTTTATCCATTTAGATATCTGCAAAGTTTATTTGTGGCACGGTAGGACTCAAAATTAAATAAAATTCCTCATTATAAAGAACCCTTCTTTGGTTCTTAAAGTAAGAAAAGTAATTTATTAGTTAATAGCCAAAAGCAGAAACTATGCTTGGTGCCTGGTCAATCTTCCCAAAATATCACCTGTAGCATACTGCGTCCTCACTCACTGACAGAGATACTAATTTTGAGTATGTTGGTTGGTTCAGCATCTTAAATCTGAGCCTACAAATAATTTTGCAAAATGTTTTTCATTTTAAACTGAAGTCTACTAGAAAGAAGCAACAGTTCATCCTTAGTATATTAGACTCAGCAGGAAAGTATGATTAATGTTACCATTATGTTAAAAGTGTGTTCTCACTGTGTTATGTTGCTAGTTCCTGTTTTACATGCTATTTTTAGGATTTCTTACCCATTTTAAATTGGCTTAAACTGGCTTTTAATATTTTCCAATTGGAAGAATTGGCTTTTAATATTTTCATAGATAAGGGTTATGCTCTCACTTTATAATATTCAAGGAGTTTCAAAAGGTCATTAGAATAGTTTAAATGAAGCTTATGTTTTCTCACTATAGAAAATTTGAAAATATCTAAAAATATAAAGAAAAAGTCATGAAGCGTCTCAGTGGTTAAAGACAAGTGCTGTTAAAGTATTGTATTATATGATACAACCTATTTTCTAGAAATGACTGTTTTGGTTTTTGTAAGCTTAGTTATAATAATGTTGGATAGAATCTTATATAGATTTTTCCCTCTTTGATTTTGAAAAAGCTATTTACTTTTCTCCAAATATAATCTCCAAATAACATCCTCTAACATGTTACACAGAGATTTGTATTGTTCACTATCATTCTACAGGATAAAACGTTTTTATAGATGTTGGTACAGTACGATTTTTTTTTTCAATTTTTTTAAAAGAAGAAAAAGCTCACATTATCAGATATGGTTATGTCTCAGATTTAAAGGATCTTCAAAGACAAATGATTGTGGCTTTTCTGGTCACACAAAACATTGGCAATCTTCCCTTTAAAGCTATAGGCTGCTTTTTTATTTATCTTAAAGCACTTCTTTTTATTGCAAATTTTTTGTACATATTTCAATAGCTGCATGACACAAAGTTCAGCAGAGTATCACAACCCAACCTGTGACACCTCTTCTGTGCTGCAGTTTCTCTTATATGCTTATTCACATTTACCAATGAAAGAACAAGCCTGCCTGGTTTCCTCTGCCAATTCTGGCCTCTCCTCTGAATGATGGGCTGATTGCAAGTACTAGCATGCTATCAGATAGGCTTCATTTTAGAGAAAGTAGGTAGGAATCAGGCAGTAATCAGGGAGGACAGACAACCTGGGATTTCTGCCCAATCCCCACCACCCCCCACCACCCTCCCCCACCCCCGAAAAAAGAAAAGTTGTTCAGGTGCAGGTGCTCACACCTGTAATCCCAGCGCTCTGGGAGGCTGAGGTGGGAGGATTGCTTGAAGCCAGTAGTTCTGGGCAACAGAGTGAGACCAGGTCTCTACAAAAAAATGTAAAATTTAGCCCGGTATGGTGGCATATTCCTGTAATCCCAGCTACTCAGGAGGCTGAGTTGGGTGGTTTGCTTGAGCCCTGGAGTTTGAGGCTGCAGTGAGATAGCATCACATCACACACTCTAGCTTGGAGACACAGCAAGACCCTGTCTCTTGAAGGAAAAAAAAAAAAAAGGCCGGGCGTGGTGGCTCACACCTGTAATCCCAGCACTTTGGGAGGCTGAGGTGCGCGGATCACGAGGTCAGGAGTTCGAGACCAGCCTGGCCAATATGGTGAAACTCCATCCCTACTAAAAATACAAAAATTAGCCAGGCTTGGTGGCAGGCACCTGTAGTCCCAGCTACTTGGGAGGCTGAGGCAGAAGAATCGCTTGAACCCAGGAGGCGGAGGTTGCAGTGGGCCGAGATGGTGCCACTGCACTCCAGCCTGGGCAACAGAGCAAGACTCCATTAAAAAAAAAAAGCCAAAACATGGAGGACCCTCCTCTAGGGCACTAAATCTCATGTTGAAGCCCTGGCTTCTTTGAAACAGATCATTTGCTTTTTTGTCGTTGTTGAGACAGGGTCTCACTGTTGCCCAGGCTGGAGTGCAGTGGCGCAATCTCGGCTCCCTGCAACCTCTGCCTCCCAGGTTCAAGCAATCCTCCCACCTCAGCCTCCCGAGTAGCTGGGACTATAGGTGTGCAGCACGCCGGGCTAATTTTTGTATTTTTAGTAGAGATTGGGTTTATGCCATGTTGCCCAGGCTGGTCTCAAACTCCTGGGCTCAAGCCATCCACCAACCTCGCCCTCCCACAGTGCCGGGATTACAGGCTTGAGCCAGCACACTGGTCCATTTGCATTTTTTGGAGTGCTGTTGCAGCCTTCTGCCTGGGGGCAAACACCATTGCTATAACAGGTTATAAGAGACCAACCGAAGCAGTCGTCCACCTGCAGGTAATTCTTAAATCAAACATCTTGATTTCTTTTCCTCTTCTCATTTTTGCTTTCTATATAAGCCAATCACAGTGGACTCCACTGTGGGAAAATGGTTACCACTTGTGCTACAGACTTCTTTCAAACTTCTTCTGAGATATGGCTTCTATTGTTAGATTATTCTAGGGGCTAATCCATTCTGCTTTCCAAATCTAATTTCCATTCTCTTTTCAAAACCTTAATTCCTCTGATATGTCCCTCTTCTGTTTTCAAGCTTATACCAATTTATTCCATTTTATAAAAAAACTTATTATTTATTAAATTGGATTTTATTTGAGGGAGGGGAGGACAATGTTGAATTCACACTGCTATCTTAACCTAAAAGTGTTGCATTCCCTTTTTAATACTCAAGAGTTCACAGTTTTAAAAATCAGAATTGAACAAACACTAACTAGATCAGAAAATATTCAAGATACTTCAGTCACTAAACACATGTGAGAGGTGACTATTTTAGAAAGAATTTCCTCACTTTAAGTAGTATTTTTTAAAGAAATTATACCCTATTCTGTGAGCAAAGTTAATCTCAAGCCAGATATTTACTAAAAATATAATAATTATTTATATAATTCAAGCAACAGCACAAACTGTCCTACAAACACATATCAGCTCTGAACATTTCTGTTAAAAGGATTTTGGTCTCTTTCAGTTCCCTATTTGATTTTACCAGGCTAGCTGTAGACCTCTCAGAATCATAGATGATTAAAATGAGAATGTGTTATATATTTAGTCATACCTACTCACATTGTAGAGGAAAAAACTGAGGCCACGCAAGACCATCTAACACAAGGCCACCAAACTTGTGACAGGGATAGACTAGAATAAAGCCATTAGCATTTCTACACCAGTGTTCTACCCACATATAAACAGCCTGCCCCAACTCCCTTACATATTTTTGTAAAAGCTTTTATCTTTTCTTCACAACATTTATCATCTCTTATTTAGTGTCTTCCTTTCCTGCTAAAGTCTAAGCTTCACATGAGCATAAGCCCTGTATGTCTTATTATCTATTTACATTCTGTAGCTTTCCAGGTGCCTAAGCATCATCAAGTACCCAATAATTATTTGGTAACTGAATGAATGAATGTTCCATATTGCCTCTCTACTCTCAGTGAACTTATTGAAACTTAATGCCTTAAAATAGTAGCTTATAGGAAGAGGGGTGGTAGTATCTGTGAACAGCTTGAAATGATATGTAAAATTCTCTAGGTGTGTCCATCTTGTATAGTCTACACTTCTCATTAAATTCTCAAAGGGGTCCATATTTACAAAAAAAAAAAAGCTGAAACTTACTGCCTTAGGACAAGGCCCCCAAAGTAGTGTTTTACTCTAACATAGTTAGGCTCCCAATGTTAAAACTACTAATTCTCTTTGGCTTAATTTTAATGCCACAGACTTATCTGTGCATTCCCTTTGTTCTATCGTGGCTTAGTTCTAAGGTGAGAAGAAGAATCTAGGTAAGGATTGACTAAAGAAAATGACACCATGCTTCTCCTATAAGCAGAAATAACAAAAGTATTCATTGATAGTCCTTTAGCAGAAATACATTCTGCTTATATAATACTCACCTTTTCAGCTGGAAGAATGTGTTGTTTCATGAAATGCTTCACCTTAATAAGAACTTCCTGACCTTTCCGAGTCTGTACAAACAACTGTCCAGTAGTATCAATCTGTGGTAGTACAGTACTGAAAGTTCTTTGCCAAAAGAAAAAAGGAAAAAAAGGTTACAAAGATGTCCAAAGATCATTATTACATATTTCTAATATAATGTGAAGTTTCCTCAGCTACCCAAAAAACATCCCCCAGAAGGAGTAGCTGTATTTTATATTTTAAAAAAGTCTTCCATATTATGGACTGAATGCAGAATCACTTCCATTTTAAACATTTAACTTTAATGCTTAAAGCACTATTTGGGGAAAACATATAGGCCTGGCATCACCTCAAGCAATGTTAGTGATAGATGCAGGAGGCACAGGGTCTTGTCTGGACATGCCCACAATGGACTGGGGGCCTGCCTGCACACTGGGGGAATGGGGTGGAGCCACCGGGAATTCGCGCCTTATGCAAGGGGAGGAGCCTGGCCTCTTTAGCTCAAGTGTGGTAGCCTGGTATTCAATGTGTGAGGTGGGCGCCTGTTGGCAGGACCCCCCCTTTCTTTGCTGAGAGCTTTCTTTTCGCTTAATAAATCGGCCCTCCTCATCCTTTAATGTGTCTGTGTGCCTAATTTTTCCTGTGAGACGAGAACCTGGATTTTAGCTGAACTAAGGAGCAAAAAATCCCGCTTCATTAGTTTTGAATCTTTATTGAAGTCACCCGTCAGAATCTCCAGAAGAAAAAGCAAAGAAGTTGAATTGAACACAAATAATCATTATTCTTACTATTAATATATGCCTCACAAATATAGCTGCTGAATATTAGATCTGTAGAACAGAAAACCAAACACTGCATGCTCTCACTCGTAAGCGGGAGTTGAACAAACCACCATGGCACATACATACCTATGTAACAAACCTGCAGGCTCTGCACATTTATCCCGGAACTTAAAATAAATTAAAATAAAATAAAGAAGACCTGTAAAGGTCATTATGAAGCACAACAGAATCAATTGTTATGGTGTAGAGAGAACAAATACCCATCTATAAGATAAATTGGAAAAAAGCAATTGTCCTAACATTATGCCATGGGTACTTGTGGGTTAAGCAGAATTTCTGGGACAGCATCACACATGCATCTGGTAAGCAATGGGAATGAAACTGGCAAAGTGTGTTCGATGCCTGAAAAAGTGCTCTGCTGATGAAGACATGGGTTTCAAAGATGCTTATGAAATGTCTGAATATAACTTCATGAAATGTAACAGTGGAAAAGAACAATATTTCTAAATTAATAAATCATCTTATATAATGCATTTTTAAAATTAGATATATGTAAGTGACTTAAATATTAGAAAGAAACACTTGAGAGTTTTATCTATATCCTTAAACATTTACACAATCAAGTGGCACAAAAATACTTTTAAACCTAAATACGGAGATTTTCTTTATATTTTAGGTCAATTTGTTTTTAGGCATAGAAGAGATTTACCAAAAATCTATTGTGATTGGCAGCAGCAATCCTGGTGTATGCAATAAAAATAATCCCTACTCCCCTAAAGTGTATAACCTTCACATACCCAATAAAGGCTCTAATTTGAGTTAGCCAAGGAATCTGTTTTCCTTACCGTTTGGAGAGTTGTAGTCCAGTTTCTGCCAGAGGTTGCACAATATTGGCAAATAAAAAGCTATCCTCAGATGAATTATTTCCCAGAAGATATCTGCTATATACTCCCTATAAATAAACATAGAACAATTAAAATTCATTGAAAACCGTCCTTCAACAATCCAATCAATCTTTCCAGTTTCTCAGTTATATGTGACATTATACTCACAGGGTATGAAGACGTAAAACAGACTATCGACGATATTAATGTACATGCAGGGGTAATTACACCCTTCTAAAGAGTCATACTCATATCATACAGTTCACATACTCTCATCCTAACATAATTCTAATTTATAATCAAATCAAACTTGCAAATGATCTCAGCAGTTACCAAAGATACCAAGTCTGCAAGTTATTTCACCTCTAAAGATCACTACCCTCCTTCATAATGGGGGAAAATCTAAAGAAACAAAAATAAGATTTAAAAAACTATAAAATCAAAAGGAAGACAATGAGACGATCTCTAAGAACATTTTATCTCATTTTTGGGTCCCTAATGCAGGTAAAACTGTCTCTTTCAAACAGTGTTAGTTGAATGCTAATCAGTGTTTCTTTGATAATTCTCCATTTCTGTACTTTCAACATAATAAACTCCTTCCTCTTCCCTAAAAACAAACATCACTGTGTCTTCTTTATATAATTCCTTATATAATAAAACACTGTAATAAATAAAACACTGTAATAGTTCTTCCATCATATTCAATTTTATATTTCCAATTAGATTGGAATGTTTATGACCATCTCCAAAGCTACTACATGTACAGTATATATAGTTTATGTTGTACATTATTTTTTTGAGATGGAGCCTCACTCTGTCGCCCAGGCTGGAGTGCAGTGGCATGATCTCAGCTCAGTGCAACCTCCACCTCCCAGGTTCAAGCAATTCTCCTGCCTCAGCCTCCTGAGTAGCTGGGACTACAGGCCCACATGCCGCCACACCTGGCTAATTTTTTATTTTTAGTAGATACGGGGTTTCACCATGTTGGCCAGGCTGGTCTCGAACTCCTGACCTCAGGTGATCCACCCACCTCGGCCTCCCAAAGTGCTGGGATTACAGGCGTGAGCCACCGTGCCTGGCCTATGTTGTACATTTTAATGTCAATCATAATCCATGTCAAACTTTTATTGGAAATGAAAAGCCATTTCAAATTTAAAGCCTATTTGGTATCTTATTTGTGGAAACTGTCAAACACAGAGACATACCCATTTTGAGAAACCCATTCTTTTAACATGATTAACTCAGGGTACAAGATGAGATGTAACACAACTATTTCAGTTGTTCATGGATAGCATGAACTCTGAGGACAGAAAATAAATTATCATAATTTTCCTTAATCCTTCTTTTCCCATTATTTTTCACTTCTAAACTTATTTACCTGTTTTTCTTCTAAACCCTAGCCCCTTGCTATTGATGAAGCATCTCAATTTCTTAAATCTCCAAGATTCAAAGTGCCTGAAAACTGGATTAGTATAAAGAAGAAGCCATTTGTTTAGATTACAATGTAATTAGAAAAAAACCCTAAATTTATGCTCTATTATCTTTCAAAATTAATCACACAAATATGACGATGAAAATAAAAAAATCTTACTCATCTACTTACTCAAAAACATTTTAAGAGGTTACTGTATACTAGATACTGTGCTAGCCTCTGGGAAGTATAAAGATAATTCTTCCCTCATCATCAACCCTAACTAATAAATGGTTTCATAGTCTGAGGCAGAGATCATCAAAAGATTTTAGCTTTTTCTCACACTGGATATTCAGGAAATGACTAATCCTTACTAATCCTTTTTAACATTATGTCATTCTTCCTCCATCCATCTTGTAAGTTTATTATACAAAAAACTGATAATACATTTTGCTACTCAAATTTTTTCCTTGCCAAATTCCTATTCTGTAAATTCTGGATTTATATTTTACCTATGTCTGATACCTGTCATTATGATAAGCCAAATGATCTAAGGATAAAGAATATAAAACCCGGAAGACTGGAAAACATTGTCAACAGTACACTGGTAAATAATGGCGAAACACACGTTTAAAACAATTAATTACCTGTGCTATTCCAGCCATCTTAAAATATGAAAGGGCAAGAAAGAAATTCCAGTTAGGAAGAATAGAATTAATTCCCCTGCAGCGGCAATATATTGAAATCAGTTCTTCCATTGATGGTATCCCTATAAAAACAGCATGTAATATAAACTTTAATTAAAATGTCGTGGTGAATATTTCAAAATGTTATGAGACTGAGACGCATATGTAAAACGGAATGTAATAACCATTAGCCCTTACAACAAAACATGTTCTAAATCTTGATTTCCAAAAGATTATTATATACAAAGGATTATATTTGGTCGTAAATTACTAAAAGTGGCATGCTAAGTTCAGAAAATTTAACGAAGAAAATGAAATAGGCCAGTCACGATGGCTCATGCCTATAATCCTAGCACTTTGCGGGGGCCGAGGATCACTTGACAGCAGGAGCTTAAAACTAGCCTGGGTAACATAGTGAGACACCATCTCTACAAAAAATAAAAAAATTAGCTGGGCATGGTGGTGTGTGCCTGTAGTCCTAGCTACTCAGAAGGCTGAAGTGGGAGAATCACTTGAGCCCAGGAGTTCAAGGTTTCAGTGAGCTATGATTGTGGCACTGTACTCCAGCCCGGGTGACAGAGCAAGACCTTGCATCTAAAAAACACCAACATGGCCCATGTATACATGTGTAAAAAACGTGCACGTTGTGCACATGTACCCTAAAACTTAAAGTATAATAAAAATAAATTAAAAAAAAGAATTATCTTCAACAAAAAAATAAAATAAAAATAAAAATCATAATAAAATAGAAATGTTTAAGAAACAAAAACTATTATCTAAAATTGCAAGATTTATATTTTAATTATGAAAGTAATAAAGACAGTTTTATATTAATAGCAATTTAGACAACATTATGTTTTTATACCTGAGTTTTCACTATAAGAACCTTGATTTATCATTGGAACTGTCCTTGGCCAAAAGTAGAACAGGGAAAAATGAGCTAAGTCTGACAAAGGATGACCAATGGTTGACAGCTCCCAATCCAGCACTGCTATAACTCGACACTGTAATTAAAAATAAAGAGGTCTGTAACACATTAAAACTTAAAACAAGTATAATAAAGAAATAAATAACATTGAACACATTCAAAATCATGTTTTCCATCAAAAGTCAATTTCAGGTCTTTACCCACAGTGGCATATCTCATTTATAAAATAGCCAATTAGCCTTGATTATATAGAGCTAAGTCCTCTGGTTCCATCGCTGGCCATCAGTCCTTCTCATTTTACTTTACACAGCCTTAATATCTCTGCTAATGAGCAGATGCAAAAGCAGTTAAAACTTCTCAACTGGAAGTAATTGTGATAAAAAGGAATTATAGTGAATTACTTATATTTTAATAATCCATGTTATGCATCATTAAACATTTACTTTAGTAATTAATCTAACTGTATAACAAATGTACTACTCCATCCATGGTACTTTTAAAAGTTATTTCATGTTGTAGATACAAAGCATAATTGTTATAAAAGATACTGTTAGTTTTATAAATATAAAATCCACCATTATATAGCAACATAAAACAATCATGTAATGTGGAACCAATAAAACAGAAAGCTTCCCTCATTCTACCTTGTAACAGTATGTATCAAGGGAATATATATATATGTATTTTTTTTTTTTTTTGAGACGGAGTCTCGCTCTGTCTCCCAGGCTGGAGTGCAGTGGCGCGATCTCTGCTCACTGCAAGCTCCGCCTCCCGGGTTCACACCATTCTCCTGCCTCAGCCTCCCGAATAGCTGGGACTACAGGTGCTCGCCACCACGCCCGGCTAATTTTTTTTGTATTTTTACTAGAGACAGGGTTTCACCATGTTCGCCAGGATGGTCTCGACCTCCTGACCTCATGATCCGCCCGCCTTGGCCGCCCAAAGGGAATATATATCTTCATATTAAGAATACAGGACATTCTTTTGTTCATTTCTTATGTTCATTTGGCTGTACATATGGCCAAAAAATCAATTTGTAGAATAGTATATAGCGTATGATCCAATTTATGCTTAAAGAAAAAGATTATAGTTTGAAGTCAGGTAGCATGATGCCTCCAGCTTTGTTCTTTTGGCTTAGAATTGACTTGGCAATGCGGGCTCTTTCTTGGTTCCATATGAACTTTAAAGCAGTTTTTTCCAATTCTGTGAAGAAAGTCATTGGTAGCTTGATGGGGATGGCATTGAATCTATAAATTACCTTGGGCAGTATGGCCATTTTCACAATATTGATTCTTCCTATCCATGAGCATGGAATGTTCTTCCATTTGTTTGTGTCCTCTTTTATTTCATTGAGCAGTGGTTTGTAGTTCTCCTTGAAGAGATCCTTCACATCCCTTGTAAGTTGGATTCCTAGGTATTTTATTCTCTTTGAAGCAATTGTGAATGGGAGTTCACTCATGATTTGGCTCTCTGTCTGTTATTGGTATATATGAATGCTTGTGATTTTTGCACATTGATTTTGTATCCTGAGACTTTGCTGAAGTTGCTTATCAGCTTAAGGAGATTTTGGGCTGAGACGACAGCGTTTTCTAGATATACAGTCATGTCATCTGCAAACAGGGACAATTTGACTTCCTCTTTTCCTAATTGAATACCCTTTATTTCTTTCTCCTGCCTGATTGCCTGGCCAGAACTTCCAACACTATGTTGAATAGGAGTGGTGAGAGAGGGCATCCCTATCTTGTGCCAGTTTTCAAAGTGAATGCTTCCAGTTTTTGTCCATTCAGTATGATATTGGCTGTGGGTTTGTCATAGATAGCTCTTATTATTTTGAGATACGTCCCATCGATACCTAATTTATTGAGAGTTTTTAGCATGAAGGGTTGTTGAATTTTGTCTAAAGCCTTTTCTGCATCTCTTGAGATAATCATGTGGTTTTTGTCTTTGGTTCTGTTTCTATGCTGGATTATGTTTACTGATTTGCGTATGTTGAACCAGCCTTGCATCCCAGGGATGAAGCCCACTTGGTCATGGTGGATAAGCTTTTTGATGTGCTGCTGGATTCCGTTTGCCAGTATTTTATTGAGGATTTTTGCATCGATGTTCATTAGGGATATTGGTCTAAAATTCTCTTTTTTTGTTGTGTCTCTGCCAGGCTTTGGTATCAGGATGATGCTGGCCTCATAAAATGAGTTAGGGAGGATTCCCTCTTTTTGTATTGATTGGAATAGTTTCAGAAGGAATGGTACCAGCTCCTACAAGGCTACAGTAACCAAAACAGCATGGTACTGGTACTAAAACAGAGTAATAGACCAATGGAACAGAACAGAGCCCTCGGAAATAATACCACACATCTACAACTATCTGATCTCTGACAAACCTGACAAAAACAAGAAATGGGGAAAGGATTCCCTATTTAATAAATGGTGCTGGGAAAACTGGCTAGCCATATGTAGAAAGCTGAAACTGGATCCCTTCCTTACACCTTATACAAAAATTAATTCAAGATGGATTAAAGACTTACATGTTAGACCTAAAACCATAAAAACCCTAGAAGAAAACCTAGGCAATACCATTCAGGACATAGGCATGGGCAAGGACTTCATGTCTAAAACACCAAAAGCAATGGCAACAAAAGCCAAAATTGACAAATAGGATCTAATTAAACTAAAGAGCTTCTGCACAGCAAAAGAAACTACCATCAGAGTGAACAGGCAACCTACAAAATGGGAGAACATGTGCAATCTACCTATCTGACAAAGGGCTAATATCCAGAATCTACAATGAACTCAAACAAATTTACAAGAAAAAAACAAACAACCCCATCAACAAGTGGGTGAACGATATGAACAGACACTTCTCAAAAGAAGACATTTATGCAGCCAAAAGACACATGAAAAAATGCTCATCATCACTGGCTATCAGAGAAATGCAAATCAAAACCACAGTGAGATACCATCTCACACCAGTTAGAATGGCGATCATTAAAAAGTCAGGAAACAACAGGTGCTGGAGAGGATGTGGAGAAATAGGAACACTTTTACACTGTTGGTGGGACTGTAAACTAGTTCAACCATTGTGGAAGTCAGTGTGGCGATTCCTCAGGGATCTAGAACTAGAAATACCATTTGACCCAGCCATCCCATTACTGGGTATATACCCAAAGGAGTATAAATCATGCTGCTATAAAGACACATGCACACGTATGTTTATTGCGGCACTACTCACAATAGCAAAGACTCGGAACCAACCCAAATATCCAATAATGATAGACTGGATTAAGAAAATGTGGCACATATACACTATGGAATACTATGCAGCCATAAAAAATGATGAGTTCATGTCTTTGCAGGGACATGGATGAAGCTGGAAACCATCATTTTCAGCAAACTATCGCAAGGACAAAAAACCAAACACCACATGTTCTCACTCATAGGTGGGAATTGAACAATGAGAACACTTGGACACAGGAAGGGGAACATCACACACTGGGGCCTGTTGTGGGGTGGGGGGGTGGGGAGGGATAGCATTAGGAGAGATACCTAATGCTAAATGACGAGTTAATGGGTGCAGCACACCAACATGGCACATGTATACATACGTAACAAACCTGCACGCTGTGCACATGTACCCTAGAACTTAAAGTACAATAAAAAATAAATATATATAAAATAAAAATAATAAAAAAATAAAAAAATAAAGAAAAAGATTATAAATGAATACTCAAAGTTGAAAAGGTATTGCACCAAACTAACAGAAATGGCTGTGGTTACTTTAAGGGATTAAGGCAGGATGGATGAGGTCCAGAGAGGGGAACCTTCACTGGAGGGTTCTATATATAGGAGTGATATGACATGATCTGTATTTTAAGAGGGTCACTCTGGCTACTATGATTTCAATATACTATGGGGGGTGGGCAGTGAGGCAGCTGCAGCAATACTCTAGGCAAGTTATCCAAGCTACATAAAACTGCAGACCCCATTTGGGTAATATGAGTTACTGGGTTTCATGCCTCCATATAACTGTGTGTGCTTGCACTCCCTTGCTCCTCTGGCAAACTTACACACATTCTTGTAGCTTTGTGTGGAAATATGGGCTTTGGAATCAGACAGGCCTGTATTCAGACCCTAGCTCTACCATTTGCTGGCTGTATAACTCTGGACAAGTTAGTTAACCTCTCTAATCCTCAATTTTCTCAGCCATAATATACACCTCTTACACAGGGTTAGTTTGAAGATTAAATGGGCGGGTAGCACATATAGTTCATGTATGAGTTTCTAGCAAAGAACCTGGCACACAACAGATGGCCAATATGTATTTATTTGATGAATATGTTCAGAGCTTGGCATATATAGCAAGGCAATCAAAACTTTGCCATTGTTACTGTGGAAAAAAATTGATCACTCCTTTCTCTATGACTTTATAAGAGCTTTTATTGTGGTTATATTATACTATAAATTTATAATATTATAAGTATTATAAATTACTATACTAGCTAGATTTGTGAAACTACTGAAGAGGATGGATGCATTTTTCTCTTACATCATTCTATTTGTTATCTATGCTTTTAACATCCAAAGTAAAGATGAGGCACTTACTTATGCTATAAATGATTACTTTTCTTTTTTAATACAATTGGGAAACTTCTCTGGAGTTACTTTTCAGAATATCTGAACCATTTTTGGGGTAAAAACACAAAGCTATAAAACAACAGCCAGTGAGAAAAGCTGATGGCTCATCAAATTGCATAAATTAGTGCAAATTAATTAGCAATAGCTAATTAGAGTCCTGTTGATGCCTGTTTGTGTTGAGAGTTATTAAAAGCTCAACATAACTTTTAGTGGTTGATCTGGACATTTACTAGTTCGTCTTACTGCTGCTAGGGAACTTATTAGTAAAATTATTTTTGATAGTTTTTCTGAAACCTCAGCTCAACAGAAAGCTTTTAGTTTTTTAAATTATCTTCTTTATAAAGAGATTCATTTTATGTATACTTTTTACACCATTGAATTTTATTAATATGTATGTGTATTGGCATTCGAAACAAACAAAAAATACATACAATCCAACAGAACAAACAGTAGATGAAGAAGGCAGGGAAGAAAATAATAGAATTTGTAATGAAAAGATGAAGCTAGGAGTAAGGTTATTACACATAATTGAATGTGATAGGACATGCATAGTTGTTAGTGTGGGTAGTAAAATTTGCTTTGAATTTTATAGCGGGTAAAATAAAGTGTGAAGCATGGTCAGTCACAATCTTTATAGTGTATGCAGGTCAAAAACAAACCAGCTGCTCAAGAGGGACAAATTTTCTTGGCAATGAGGCTAAAGAAAAATATCACCCATCAATCTGCATACAGGTGATATTGTGTAGCGGACGAAAATGTCTTCAACAATATAAAGAGAACTTTGAGGGGCATGGTGTAATTCCTAGAAAGCAGGCTATGCTGGAAAATGACTGAAAGGACAAAGATGAGTTAGGTAGAAGACAAGACCACATGCTGAGAGTGGGAACCGAGATGGGACAAGAAATGTGAGAGTTTGAGAAGAAGGGAAAAGATTTAGAAAAGCCATTTTTTAAATGTCACAGGTTTTACTAAGAGATGAAGTTACAGCCTAGATAAAATCATGTGGCATAAAAATGTCCCAGATCCAATTAACCTTACTTCACGACTTTATTCTGCAGCAAAAATATGAGGATTCAAGTTTAGGGCTAGAAACTGGTTAAAGTCAAGGGGTGATGGACATCCCCTGTAGGGTTATTAGAAAAAATAAAAAGTAAAATAATAATAATAATGATGATATAAAGTCAGGGTGGGAAGATTCTAGAATAATAAGTAACCTAAGGTCAGGACACTTTATAATTCTTACATTACTTGCATACATCTATAGTCAAAAAATTATTAATGAAATTGATACTAAAGGTAGTTTTTGAGATGACTGATTATGACCATGTGGCTTATGTAGGATAAGAAGTCAAGTGAAGTCATGAAGGGCTTATGGATTCTAAATTAACAGCAATCAAATTTGCAGTGTCTCAGGGAAGATGCAGAGAAATAAAAGAACAGAAGGTAAAGAGGGTGAGGTCAAAAATAAGGGGTTTCAATTTCTAGATCACTGAAGTTGACAAGTTCCAATGGATGTTTCTAATTAAATATATTTTTCAAGTTGAAATGACAATATGCAGATTTTACATTAAACTCCAAGATCTTAAACATTTCTCTACTGGTAAAATTTATATTTGGAAAATCAACATTTTCCAGGAAAACTGGATTTCTTTTCAACATTGCAGTGAGCCTATTGTGCTACTGAAATACTTGCCCAAACATGCTTTAAATACTTTGTAAATAAGTAACAGAAAATAATTTCGTTTTGCCATATCCTGTAGTTTCCTTTACTGGCTTACTCCACACATTCCTGGAAGGTTTGTCATTTAAAATTGTTTATTCTTCTTTCTTAATTGTTGTGTTTTCTGATGACAAAAATTAAACATGCTGTTGTTTTAAAAATAAAAACCAAAAAACATCAAACCCTAAACATTACAGAAATGTACAATTATGTCTCCTATAATTCTATCCCCTACAACCACTGTTTAGGTTTTCGTACATATTATGAAGCATTTACTTATACCCTAATATTTTTCTGAAGAAGCTTGACAAGTAGTCTAAGAAAAGTCAGAGAGAAAAATGAAGGGGAAAAAATGGAAAAATGAGGGTACCTGAAATAAACTGAGCATCATTGATGTGCCAGGTACCAGCTAGTTGCTCCACATTGACTGTTTCATTTTAGCTGCCCAGCAACTCAGAATTTTTTTTTTCAATTTTAAAAGGTACACAATGTCAATTTCCTGGCTTTGATAATGTACCATAGTTGTATAATATCCATTTTGCAGAATTTGGATGATGGATACACAGGACTTCTCTGTACTATAACACTGTTACAACTTTTTTGGGGACTCTAATTATTTCAAAACAAAAAGTTAAAATAAAAATAGAGGCACAGAGAGAGATTGAATAACATGCTTTAAGTTCACACTGCTAGGGAATGAAAGTTAAGCATAAATTTATGAGATGGAAATAGTTGCTAGTGAATAATTAACTAAAATTAATCCCTTCAACATAGATTCATCAGAATCATATAAGCACCTGCAATATAAAGATGAATAAGATACAGTCATTGTTTTAAAGGAACTCCAAGTCTAGTGGGTTCTAATTTGTTATCTACTATAGAGACTCAATATTATGTAGACTCGACTAAAATATTAATTAAATGACACAGATCAAATACAGGCCAGATCCTGCTATGTTTTCAGGCATATGCTTTTATAATTATCTAGATTATAAATTAGCATATTTAATTTTTCTAATCTCAGGGTAGATAATTAACAAGGTTAGAATTCAGAATTCATCAGTGCCACTAGCTCTTCCTGCCCTAAAACATCTTAGCATTCTAAGAAACTAATGAACCCAGAAAATCCTCCTCTCAGAAGCAGGATTCATTCCTACTATACTGTAATCCTAGGCCTCATTGTAGGTGCTCAGTGGAGGATTACAGCTTTCATTTGTTTATACTCTTTATAAAGAATACAGTATGCACATTTACATTGAGCAAGGTTATATTAATCTCATGTAATTCTTTTGAAGCCTCAAGAAGCTTTTGGAATTCTCTATTCTCAGAGTTTATAATAAACAAATAATAAATTCTTCATGAGATAGGGCTAAAAACCCCAAAGAAGTATAAATGAACCAGAAAAAACAGCAAGAACATGGATAAGCTAAATATTGTAACTAGTAGATGAAAACTTATTTGAAGAAAACAGCATCATGCATGTAAAATTCCCAAATCCTTTTAAGCAGTAAACCAGATACCACTTGGGATTAGAACCAGTCTCAAAGGTAGGCAGCTAACTTATGCTGGAAAATCTGCAGGACTCCTTTCTAAAAATTTTGAGTGGTGACGACAGTCCTGAGCTGTAGGGGAACAGGGAGTGGGTTGGGCTCCCTCAGTGCTCTGGGGGGAGCATTTACTTAGTACTGTGTCACAAAACAGACCTACTCAATTAATTGTAAACATAGCTAACTGTACCTCTTTAGGGTGGAAAACTATGTTATCTAGTCTGAAATCTCCATGAATCAAATTCTCTTCATTGTCATTATCGGGCAAGTTCTTCATTAGCCACTCCGATAGCTGTTGCATGGCAGGGATGTCCTGATGAGCTGCAGCTTGATATTGCTTTGTCCAGGTTGATACCTAAAGACATATAAATAAGAAAAATGGTAAAGCTGAAACTGGAATGTAGGATCTAGCAATTCTAAAATTAAAACAAAATTCAAATGCTGTTTTACTCCTAAATACTTAAGACCCATGCTGGTGATACTCCTGTCATCCTAAAACACTCAAATCAGCCTAAACCTTAAACATTTAAGTCTCTTTTCCATATAGTTCCATTTTACTTACCTAGTTTTTTATCAAGAGAAAAATACTGGCCTAGGGATCAAGAGATATGGGTTCTAGTCTTTATTCAGCAACTACTTTGTAGAAGAAAAAAAAAGAATGCATACAAACACACACACGCACACACACACTCTCTCTCACACACACACACACACACACAAATATATAGGCATAGATAATCTCTGGAAAGGGTCACGAGAAATAAGTAACCCCTGAAAAAGGGAATATGGGGACTAGAAGAAAAAAGAAGACATTTACTTTTTTTTTTTTTGAGACAGAGTCTCGCTCTGTTGCCCAGGCTGGAGTGCTACCTCCACCTCCCAGGTTCAAGTGATTCTCCTGCCTCAGCCTCCTAAGTAGCTGGGATTACAGATGCATACCACCACACCCAGCTAATTTTTGTATTTTTAGTAGAGACGGAGTTTCACCATATTGGTCAAGCTGGTCTCGAACTCCTGACTTCGTGATCCGCCTGCCTTGGCCTTCCAAAGTCCTGGGATTACAAGCTTCAGCCACCGCGCCCAGCCTACTTTTCATTTTAATACTCTTTCTTATTACCCACAGAATTTTCTAAATATTTTACAGGTATGAATAGTGTAAAGATCTTCTATTGTTCTTAGAATTGAATGCAAACAAATCAACTTACTCGTAAAGTCCTCCAACAGGTGGGACCATATTGTTTATTTGCTTTTTTATCTCCATTTCCCGAGGTATCTTTGCTCAACTTAGTGCAATAGAGCAAAGACCTTTACTTGGTCTTATCTAGTCATATCAACCTGGGTTTAAATTATATCTAAGCCACTTACTTGTGTATTACTTGATTGATGCAAGCCTCCCTTTCTTCATCTGCAAAATGGGAGTAATAATACCTATATCTTAGAGTTGTTGTAAAGATCAAAAAAGAGAGGCCGACAACTCACTCTGCCATGTAGGACCTAGCATATAGTGAGTACACTCTAAACTTTAGTTCCCTTTTCTCTTCCTTAACCCCCACAAAATGATATGCTTACAAAGGAAAGCAGCCCCATATATATCTAGTATTGCTTTCCTTTAATTTAAAATGATCTCCATCACTCCAAATTTTATCTTTCCTTAAATACTCATTATAAGATATCTCTCCCAGGAAGCTTTCTCTATATAAGCAAGGGCATCCCAACTTCCACCCTTTGAATCATGGTGAGTATCAAACAATTTACCACTAGATTTTACACTCTTTTATACCATTTTCAGGTTTCGTGAATGACATGCATGTACAGGTCTCTCAAAAATGACCATAAGTTCCTGTGGGGAAGAACCTATTGTATATTTTTCTTGATATTTAACACAGTACTCAGCAGGTATTAAACACACAGTCAAGCTTAATAAATGTCTGCTAGTCCAATTGAGAAAGAAAAAACTGTAAGCCGGGCATGGTGGCTCACGCCTGTAATTCCAGCACTTTGGGAGGCTGAGGCGGGCGGATCACGAGGTCAGGAGATTGAGACCATCCTGGCTAACACGGTGAAACCCCATGTCTACTAAAAATACAAAAAAATTAGCAGGGCGTGATGGCGGGAGCCTGTAGTCCCAGCTGCTCGGGAGGCTGAGGTAGGAGAATGGCGTGAACCTGGGAGGTGGAGCTTGCAGTGAGCAGAGATTGCACCACTGCACTCCAGCCTGGGCAACAGAGGGAGACTCTGTCTCAAAATGATGATGATGATGAAGAAGAAGAAGAAGAAGAAGAAGAAGAAGAAGAAGAAGAAGAGGAGGAAGAAGAGGAGGAAGAAGAGGAGGAAGAAGAGGAAGAAGAGGAGGAAGAAGAGGAGGAAGAAGAGGAAGAGGAAGAGGAAGAGGAAGAGGAAGAAGAAGAAGAAGAAGAAGAAGAAGAAGAAAAAACTGTATAGTTAAAAGTATTGGAAAATTAAGAGTCTAAAACAGAAGATTTTGCTGAACAAAACCTAATATAAAAACATAAGATAATTTTATACTAAAAACTAGTCATTCTGAAGGACAATGTTAAAAGTCATGGCCAAGCTTCAGAAAACTATACAATAATAGCTTTTTTTGTTGACTAATAAGGTATATTATTTACAAGAACTTGAAAAAAATAGCTATTAATGTGGATGCATTACCTGTCTTTTGCAGTACCCAGCACCTATACCATATCCTTCCAGCTGCAGTGACTGTATATTCAAGGAATGTAACTGAGCCAATGTTTCTACCGTGGCCACATATATGGCTGAACGTTCTGCTGGGCTAAGTCCAGGAATTGTTAAATCACGGAAGATTCGACCCTATGGAAGTGATTACAACAGATTATTTAAATGTGTATAATCAATACTTTGTCGAATATACTAGAAAAACATTCATTTGTGAAACATATTTAATATTAGAGTATACATGCCAAAGGGAAAATAAAAGGATATGCCAAGATGAATATAAACATCAAAACTACTCTCAACTATTTTACAGAAAAAATTTAAAACACATTTTGAATTTATTGTTCTTAATGGCTTGACCTATGTGGAGTCTGTTTTCCCTGCTACCTTATGGACAATTTGGTTATTGCCATTACAGATAGCTCTTTACTGACACCTAGAGGAAAATTTAAGAATAAGTCAATACCCCCTAATTACTAAATTTGTTTCTTGTCTATTCCATCCCTCCCTTTGTAAGTGCTCAAATTTGAACAAAATTGTAAACCTTTGCAATGCAATCTAATTACCTAAAATGTTAAATAACAAACTATATCATTTATTAAGTATCATAATAAAACATCTTAATTAACTTCATAATTAAAAGTAAAAGCAACAAAATAAGATTAAGTGTTAATTTACCTGCACATGTTCCATTACGTAAAATTCTGTTCCAATGACAGAAGTATCACTGCAGTACAGTATAGGCTTGGGAACGGGGAATCCAATTGAAAACAAGGCTTTCTGGACTTTAAATTCTCTATCAATCTAAATAGGATGATGAATCATTAAAAATCAGAGAAACTGATTTAATTGTAATTAAATTTAATAACTACTTATGAGCTAATCTTAAGGCTAGAAAACAACTGTAAAACAGTATCAACACAAACTCCAGAGGATAATAGTAATAACTTCCCTAATAGTAATCTTGGTGTAATCACTATGATTATAAATTAGACCACTACTAAAAAATGTAATTTAATTAGGATAAGAAGATGAGCACCTGCATGAGACTTAATCCTGGCTCTGATAATGTGAAGGCAATAGTTACTGTTCACAATATTTCACATATTTTATCATAAAACATCCCTTTTTCCACAGCAGTTCCCTGGCTGGCTGCTCGCTCTTTCATGTCTTCCAAGGAAGCTCAGGTAAGTCTCTATTCTAGCACTCTGCCACAGTCAGCTACAAAGAGCTGGGGGTGAGAGGTGAGTGGTGGTGGAAGGAAAAGTACCTGCTCCTTCTGGAGAGCAAGGGAGGCATGTGTTTCCAGGGCAGGGGCATGGGGATCTTTCCTGGCACTCAGGACTGCTGTGGAGCTCAAGATAACTAGCAGGAAAGTAGGCAGCTAGAAGCAAACTGGAGCCTAAATAAGACAGTGAGGAAAAAATGGCTTCCTTAATTAGGACAGATGCACAGGCTATCACTCAGGACCCAAGGGCAGAGCTGTTGATGCAGGCCAAGTAAGGATGGCTTATCTACATGTAGTCACCTGGCCCCAGACTCAGGCAATGGTGACTGACCATTCTAAGGAGGGGAAGCTATGCAGCTCATTTTGACATCAGGAAGTAAAGCAGGGGCTGTGGCAATAACTGGAAGAGGAAAGTAACGAAACCCATGTTCAAGGTGAGAGCAGCCAGCAGTACCAAGGGCTGTGGAAAGAAGTGTTAACCACTCAGGTGTTGGGAAACGAGGGGGAGGGGGTAAGGGGGAGAGGGCAAAAGGGTTAGAGAAGCAAAAAGTGGATCACAGAGCTGGAGCATTGCTTTTTTCAATGCAGAGTTGAGAAAACAGAAGGGAGTTGAAACAGAGTACTCCAGATCCTTGGCAGCTGTACTTGGGCTGAGAGCATTATGCCCTGTTCTGGTGTGTTCAGGTGGGATGTTATCAAGAAAAGAGACAAATAAAACTGTTTATTGGGGCACGGGTGGGGATTTTCCTTCAGCCATACTATATCGATATTTAATAAAAGTTACCCAACTTTTTTTTATCTTAAGCATCCAACTTACTTCATGTTTCTGGGAATATGATATGGGACCAAGAAAGTCCCATAGAATCTACATTCTCTATTACTGTGGTATTAAGCCTACCCCACAATTGTCCTTCCCCAGTGACCTGGGCCTGGGAAGCACCTGCTGTACATGATTACGGCTATACCCTAAATACGCACAGTGCTTTTAATGTTCCCCAGTGCTTTGATTTCTGTCCCCTCCTGTTCTCTGAAAATCCATAGATAATACCTGTTTTCTCAAGACAGAAAAACCTAGTTTTCAACAAAAATCTTTTAGAATTCTCACTGTCTAATATTTAGAGAGTACTATAAAATACTTATTCAAATCTTTCTTTTTATCACCAAAAGATTAGAGGATTGTCATAGCAAATATATTAAAATAATTCTGAGTAGATACTATTACATATAATAATTTAAATATATAACAAAACAAAATATCTACAGATGAGTAGCACTGAAAATATTCATTGGCTGATTTTACTTCTAGCAAACAACGTAGAGGAAAATCAAATACACAAAAGAACTGGGTGTTGTTCAAGATTAATAGCCTAAAGATAGACTTACATTTCAACCTCAAATAATTTTTTAAAACAAAAAAAGATATAATTCAAGGGAAATTTTCATTAGAAATAAAATATATTTTATATTATTTGGCAATCATAAGATGCCTTTTAAAAGTAAATTGGCTTTGTGTGTATTAAAAGCATTTATTTGTCACCAAAGAATTTATCATTACATTTGTATACTATACCTGATGTGCTTTAGGAAGAAGTGAACCTGGTGGTTTTTTCCTGAGCACATATGTTTGAAAGCCCTTCTGGAGATAAAAGGTTGGATTGGACTTTCCTGCTCTAGATAAAAGTAAAAAAAAAAAAGGTCAATTACAAAGATATGTTTTCCGTCATCCCCAAATCCTACTGAA